>NC_000010.11:1525151-1676666 GCF_000001405.40 Homo sapiens
AAAAAGGTCAGGTACCTGACTTAAATAATTGCTTTCCTTTTTGTATGTTTGGGGGAGGAGGAATTTCTGGTTCTACTTGTAACACGTGCATATGAGGTTACACAAAGATTTCTTTCCTGGAAAACTGGAAATAAGCATAATCAAAACTGTAAAATGATCAAATACTGGTGCAATTATTTTCTTCAGGAATCTCACGATTTCATCTGCGGGAGTGGATCTGAAATCTAAAATCTGAAAACATTTATTTCACTTTATGATTCTTTTTATTCCACATTCTTCTCTAATTTTTTCCTTGACTGAAACATTGGTATCTCTGTTTCTCATGGTCTCTCTTCGCCTCAGCCGTGCAGTTCTGTGGGTATCTAGGGGGCCTTTTCAGTTCAAAGTACATCAGCAGCCCGACGCTGGTGGTCCACGTTTTCCTGTCGGCTCTGTGGGTTGCATCTGTGTCCTGTTACCTCGGAGGGGTTGTATGTGCGTCCTGAGAGGAAGACAGCCTGGGAAGACAGGGTGGCTTGCAGAAGACGCCCACCATTTGCACAGAGCTAGCCGAGGCAGCTGGCCTGAACATGTGTGCATGCGTGTGCGTGCATGTATGGGTGTGTATGTGTATGCTCATGTGCTTGTGTGTTTATGTGTGTGTATGTGCGTATGTGAGCATGTACGTGTGTGCGCATGTGTATGTTCATGTGCTTGTGTGTGTGCGCGTGTCTGCGTGCGTTTATGTGCGTGTATGTGCATGTGTGTGAGCGTGTATGCTCATGTGCACGTGTGTCTGTGTGTGAGCACGTATGGGTGTGTGTGCGTGTGTGCTTATGTGCGTGTGTGCATGCATATATGTGCATGTGCATGTATGCACGTGTTTGTGTATGTGTGTATGCGTGCATGTGCATCTGTGTTGAGGGGCTGTTGCTCAGGAAGCGAGGGACAGGGCATGTCCTAGGTAGAGACAGCTTTCTGGGGAAAGCCTTGTTCTAAGGCAGCAGGGCGGTCTTGCACTTGCGCGGCTGCTCCTGGGATTTGGAAAGGACACAGGTGGGAAGTTGGAGAGATGGCCTGGGGCAGGTGGGGTAGGTGGGGCAGGTGGGGCAGATGGGGCAGGTGGTGCAGATGGGGCAGTCATTAACGAGCATGCCTGGAACCCCATCCCTAGTCTTGTAGAGGAGGCAAGGAGCTGTCCAACTGTCTCTTAAGAGTGGCACAGTCAGTGCTATGGTTTGGAGGTTTGTCCCCTCCAGATCTCATGTTGAAACGTGATCCCCAGTGTTGGAGGTGGGGCCTGGTGGGGGATGCTGGGGTCAGGGGTGGATCCCTCACGATTATCTTGGTGCTGTCCTCCTGGTTATGAATGAGTTCTTGCTCTGTGTGTTGCAGTGAGAGCTGATTGGTAGGAAGAGCCTGGCCCCTCCCACCGCCTCTCCCACCACGTGATCTCTGCACAGGCCGCTCCCCTCCCCATCGGCCACGAGTGAAGCTTCCTGGGGCCTCACCAGATGCAGATGCTGGTGCCACGCTTCCTGTACAGCCTGCAGAGCCATGGCTGCACAAACCTTTCTTCCTCATAAATCACCCAGCCTCGGGTGTTCCTTTCTAGCAACACACACGGACTGAGCCGGATGACATGAAGCAGCTGTTCCCGCCTCCTCCTGGCACCTCCCTGACTCACGCACTTGGTGCGTGGAGGGGTCGTGAGCGGGCACAGGCAGCCACTTCGCTGCTTGCCTCATCAGCCTCACAGTTCCCCACAGGTGAGTCCTGGCATAGAAACATCCCCTGCATCTTAATTTGCATTTGTTAATAATTATGTGAAATAGAGAAAATAACTTATTTGTGCACAGCTCTGACTTCCAAACGAAACCACTCCAGCTTTTTGGAAGCTTCCGCATTTGGGGATGATATTAACCAAGTGACCACAGACGAGAGAGGCACTGCCCTTCTCTTTAACCCAGAAACTGGTCAGGAGCCTGAGGAGAATGACAAAGGGAAAGAATTCTTACAGGAACTTCTCCCTCCGCTTCCCTCAGTTTAAAACTACAGTGCTCGCCACAGAATCTCACTTCCAATTCCTTGTGGAGAACTGCTTCTTGTACTTATCGCATCCTCATTTACGATATGACTCTGCTAGTATTTTAAATACATGTCTAGCGTTCCTTATAGAGACATTCTCATCCCCACATAGATCGGTGGTTATGAGGGAGTTTTCTTTCCTATGCCTAGGATTCTGTTTTGATGATTTTTACGGGGTTTGCTTACAGTAGTAACTCAGCAAACTGCCTGATGATATTTAAAAACTTCTTCCTCCTTGATTTTCATTTTAAATCAAGCAAACACAATAATCCACAAAAACTAAATTAAAATCAATGCCCTTAACATGACTGGCAAGAAGAATGCTGTTTCTGTTGTAAGAAGACTTGCTATACATAACAGGATGATTAGAAAGACTTGCTGTAAAAAGACTTGATATACATAACAGGATGATATACATAACAGGATGATTAGAAAGTTAAAAATATAATATTGTGAGATGCTATTTGGTTTGGTAAGACGGGGGTCAGATAGTCTATCAGAATAATTTTCTTCCGTTTGATCACACATCTCATCAGAGGAGCAGGAGAGCCGTCCAGCGTGAGATATTTGAAGGGGTGTTGGCAAGAACATCAGATGGACGACAGGGGAGAGGGGCCCAGCTGCACGGGGAGAAGCCGATGAGGGATGGGTCTTTGCTGTCATCAACATTCATAAATTTATCATTCTGGATGCACAAATTAAAATTATTCACTAAGCAAGAATGCCATTGAACTGAACGTTATAAAAATCCTGGAGTAAGTAGAAAAATGCCAGGCTGATATATCTGTGCAGTAAGAGGCATATAATTCTGCCTCCATCAATAACAGCCCCCACACTTTATGGACTCCCCTCTTGGAGGTGGCTGTGAATAACCCGAATGCATGTGCAGCCTCTCGACAAACTCGTGTCCGCGGCTGTGGGCTACGTTCTCGCCAATGGCTGTGTCTTCGGCCAACACACCTGAGCTTACTGCATTAATGTTACTGTGCGATACAGCAGCTCCGCGCCTCCTGTGAGTGCCCGTGTTCACTTCCTAAACTGCTGGTCTACCCAGATTTTTAAAGGGACATATCAAATACTGTTCCTCCATTTCTGGTTCCTTTCAAGCTGCGTTGGTATCGATGTTTGGAACCCCTGGCCACATTTCATATTTATGTAACTGATCTGACAGTGCACGTGAATCTATGAGCAGTTACTTATTGAGTCCCTGCTGTATGTGAGGCTCTCAGGAAGGACTTATGGATGCGCCAAAGTACTGCTGATGATAATGGTGTGAGGAACACACTTTTACTCCTGTTTTATAGAGGTAAACCGTGGTATAGAATTTCACGTTACTTGTCTGAGGTCTTTGGTCATCCCAGCAGCGCCCGGTGTGAGCCCTCTCAAGTTCTCCATGGTTTTCCCATCACCCACACCCCTCCTGTCATGCTGGTTGATGGCACTCTTGCCCGTTGGGTGAGAAAGCCCTTTCCTGGACAGGTGATGCCCTTTGTAGTGAAAACAGTTAGATGCTGTCATGTTTGGTCAGAAGCTGAACCACAGATTTTAGAATGAGGCAATGATGGCCTGAGAGGGAAGTGGATTCTGTTGACACCAGCAGAATGTGTGGAATTGGGATTTTGAAAGTGTATTTACCCAGTGGCATGTGGTCCCAAGCGGGATCTGCCCTCTATGAGCTCCAGACTGGACTCGTCCTGCCCCTGTGGTCTGTCCCTTCCTAGGTTCCCACGGTTCTCTCTTTCCCCACAATGTAGCTTTGCTTTGGACTAGTTTTTGGGACAAGATGTTGCTTGTGAGGTGGGTCTGACTGCAGGAGCCAAGCAGCACCACCCCAACAAATCCTCCAATCAGTCCACCCACCATGCCCAACACCAATCCTCCAATCAGTCCACGCACCATCCCCAACACAAATCCTCCAATCAGTCCACGCACCATCCCCAACACAAATCCTCCAATCAGTCCACGCACCATGCCCAACACCAATCCTCCAATCAGTCCACGCACCATCCCCAACACAAATCCTCCAATCAGTCCACGCACCATGCCCAACACCAATCCTCCAATCAGTCCATGCACCATCCCCAACACAAATCCTCCAATAAGTCCATGCACCATCCCCAACACAAATCCTCCAATCAGTCCATGCACCATGCCCAACACTGCGAGTCCCCCACAGATTGAGGGGGAAGATTAGGGAAGGCGAGGACCTGAGAAATCTGACTCCCTGGGGTCATCAGCACCCACGAGACATCTGCCTGAATCCGCCCCTGCACAGTAGCTATGGCCATCCTTGGCCCTGGGCCCCACACCCTTCCACTCTTCCGATGCAACGTCACCTCTCCTGTGACCCCTTCCATAGTTTTCCCCTCACCGACACCCTTATCACCAGATTCTAAACATTTTCAAATCTCCCCCATTTAAAAAATAGCCCTTGTTGGAGCCCCTCTGCCCCTGCAACTCAGTAGCTTCCACGGGAGGGGGAGGCTTCCCCAGGAGACAGAATGATGTCAGCAGAAACTATTGGTTGTGAGACTTGCGGGCAGTGCTGCTGCATGTAGAGGGCAGAGTTCAGGGGCACGCGCAGGGCAAAGGACAGGGTATCTCCACCACCAGTGCATGGCTGGGAAGCCGCTCTCTGCTCCCCTGTGACTGCGGGCACACGTCCACTGCCCCCTGCCACCACGGACACCCATCCACTGAACCCTGCCACTGCAGGGACCCATTCACTGCCCCTGCCACTGTGGGCACCCATCCACTGCTCCTGCCACTGTGGGCACCCGTCAACTGTCCCTGTCAATGTGGGCACCTGTCCACTACCTCATGCCACCATGGGCGCCTATCCACTGCTTCTGCCAGTGCTGGTACCTGTCCACTGCCCCTGCCAATGCGGGCACCCACCCACTGCTCCTGCCACCTTGGGCACCCGTCCACTGCCTCGTGCCTTTCTCCTCTGCTCACCTGTTGCCCCTGCTATGGGATGTGGAGCATGCAGCCGAGTTGCCCGACCGAAACGCCCCTCTCAGAGCTCAGTGAGGGTCTCCCTCCTGGCACCCAGGTGAAGGGACATTGTTCAGACCTCATCCTGCATGGCCTCTGCCCCAAGGCCTCCCACACCCACAACATTCCCTCCTCCTGAAACACTTGCGTCCTGGGTTTCCTCATCCAGTTTCCAAACCCAGCACCCGGGCCACAGTCACTTCGTCCTCCTTTCTCCAGCCTGCCAGGTCCTCGTGAGTGCGTCTCACTGAATTCTCTCTCTGCACGGCCACTGCTTCAGCCAGGGTCACGTGGCCTCTGTGGGAGCCACAGGACGAGACTCCTTGCGGCCTGCTCTTCATGCGGAGCCTGAGTGGGCTTTTCTGTTCATCAGCCTCGTCCGCCCCTGCGCCCAAAGCCCTCCATGCACACCGACCGCTTGTCGGTTTCTAGACAAGATCCGTTTAGAAACAGTATGTGGGCACCCCATACTCTCCAAACTCCTCTCAAGTCATGGCCCACACTCTCCCTGCTCACGGCATCTCTGGGTTCTCTCTCCAGCTCACTGAACTTGTTTCGCATGTATGCCTTTGCCTTGAGGCTTGCTCCCCTTCAACTCTGGAAACCCACTTGTCACTCAGCACTCAGGTCTCAGCACTCAGCACTCAGGTCTCAGCACTCAGCACCCAGCACTCAGGTCTCAGCACTCAGCACTCAGGTCTCAGCACTCAGCACCCAGCACTCAGGTCTCAGTACTCAGCACGCAGGTCTCAGCACTCAGCACTCAGGTCAGTCGTTGCTTCTTCGGCAAGGTCGGCCCTGAGCATTTCTGCCTCCCATTAGGTTAGATCCTCGAATGAGGCTTTTGGACAAGCCCTGCGCCATGATAGCTGGCGATCCACAGCCTACCATGTGCTCCAGGATGTCCTGCCCGTGGGCCACCCATAGGTTCGCTGAGTGCCTCCCCCTCTACTATGTCCCACGCAGGCAGTGGGCAGAGTAACCACGGAATGATCTAGTAAATTAGTGAGTGGCCGAACAGGTCTTGCCTTTTTGGGAGTGCAGGATCATTTCACAAGTCGATCCCATCAGGACAAAGCGAGTGTGCAGGCTGCTGCATGCCAAGGGCTCCTCCTCCAGGCAGCCCTTCGCGAGAGGCATGGCCAATTCTCCAAAGATTCAAATCTTTCTGGGCCTCTGGCTGTTGACAGTTCCTTAATTAAAAATCCTCCTTCCAGCCCCCAAATGGATACCAATCTACAATATTCCACACCAACTGCAGCTCAGTCAAGCATTTTACTCATTGCAGTGATAACTGTGCAGGCTGATCATTGTTACAGCCACACAGTAATAGTGCTCTAGAGACTGGGTGCGGTGGCTCACGCCTGTAATCCTAGCACTTTGGGAGGCCGAGTGGGTGGATCACAAGGTTTGGAGTTTGAGACCATCCTGGCCAACATGATGAAACCCTGACTCTACTAAAAATACAAAAATTAGCTGGATGTGGTGTCAAATGCCTGTAATCCTAGCTACTCGGGAGGCTGAGGCAGGAGAATCACTTGAACCCCGGAGGCGGAGGTTGCAGTAAGCTGAGATTGTGCCACTGCACTCCAGCCTGGGTGACAGAGCGAGACTTCATCTCAAAAAAAAAGAAAAAAAAAATAGTGCCCTAGAATTCCAGCTTTCCTCCTAACAACACACGTGGTCCACATCCGGTGTCTGATTCCCATCCCCACTGGAAGTTCCTCCGGCATTCTGTGTATTTTCTGTGTGTTGTTTTCAAAAAAACACCATCCGGTATTGTAGGCTGCAAACTTACATCAAATAGTTTCCTGCCTGTGATTTGAATCAGAGCAAAACATCCCTGGGCACCCAGGCACTGTCCCCGAAGAGGTAATTATTGGTGCTCCCACTGCGTGCTGCCTGCAGGTGTTTTCCTGTATCAGCCCGCACCATTCCCTGAAGACAGACGGTTCTGTGATGCTTTCTGGATGGCGTTTTCCTGTATCAGCCCGCACCATTCCCTGAAGACAGACCGTTCTGTGATGCTTTCCCCCTTGAAGACATAATGTCTATCTCTAATTCCCACACTGATTTTCTTTCTTTTAAGAAACCAACAAAACCAGCACCAAAAACAGCTGTTGACCCTCATCATCTGAAAGCGTGGGAACCAACTTTCCCCCGTGATCTCCCGCTCTGATCTTCATGACACCTGGCTCCCCGTGTCTGTTCATGGGGCCTTCGGTGTGGGCTCCTGTTTGTGGAGCCTCAGTGGCCCGTCCCTGTGTCCTTCTGCTGTGGGCCTGTAGCTGGGAAATTCACCCCCTGGCATTGACCAGGGGAAGGTGCGATTCCCTGTGGAGTTGGGAAGTGGCTCTCAGGGGTCAGGCATTGGGTGCTGCCCCAGTGCATGTTATGGGCAGCTGTCCACTGCGTGCAGGGCCAGTGAGACACCAAGAGGTCATCACGGGCCTCTTCTCATCTCAGTGCCAGCCGTGATGATCAGAAACATTTCTTTAGGGGGATGTGACCGCTGGCTATGGCGCCGGGACTCTTCTCCCAGTGGGTCAATCGCACCTTCACTCTGGGCAGGTGAGGGCACAGGCAGGAGCCTGAATGTGCAGGTGCCCGCAGGCGAGGTGGAGAATGGGCGCTTCTCCAGGAACTTAAATCTTGATAATGAGGCCCATCTGAACCCCTCAGGCTGCCCCAGGAGCCTCGCCTCACCTGCGGGCATCCAGCGGTGTCTGTAATGACCCTGCCCTGAAATGAAGGGGAGGAACCGCATCCTGTGTGTTACTCCAGGGGAAGGACAGGGTAGGGGCCGGCCTCCACCCTCCTCGAAGCAAACTCTCATTAGATGTTCCTACTGGGCCCTGGAGAGTAACGAGCCAGCTGATTACTGTCTCTAGTGTAAACATCACCTTTTTTTTTTTTTTTCTGAGATGGAGCCTCGCTCCATTGCCCAGGCTGGAGTGCAGTGGGGTGATCTCGGCTCACTGCAACCTCTGCCTCCCTGGTTCGAGCGATTCTCCTGACTCAGCCTCCCGAGTAGCTGGGACTACAGGCGTGCGCCACCATGCCTGGCTCATTCTTTTTTTTTTTTTGTATTTTTAGTAGAGATGGGGTTTCACTATGTTGGCCAGGCTGGTCTCAAACTCCTGACCTCGTGATCTGCCTGCCTTGGCCTCCCAAAGTCCTGGGATTACAGGAGTGAGCCACTACCACCTTTTAATCACGACCAAACATCACCTTTTAATCACAATCCTGAGAGGTGTGACCCTGGCATTGCCACGTGCGAGTCCCCCTAGGAAACCAAGGCTACGCTGGGAGCACTGTGGGGCTGTTTAGGGACTCAAGGCCATGCCACGTCCTGACTCTGCGATGCCTCCCAAGGGTGAGCAGTGGGTTCTTGCCTTTGCCACAAAAGATGCTGCCCTTGGGAATACCAGGATGAGTTAATGATTTCTGAGCATATTTCCTAAACTATGTTCCAAAGAGCACCACAGCTAGAGGTTTGAAAGGAATTTAGGAAAGATCTTACGCATATTCCATTTCCTCCTCGGAGTAACATCAGCGTATGAAATGCCCAGACAAGTCCTGTGCGGAAGAGAAGCACCCACCCTCCCCCTCTGTCAGCGGACGGGACCCTCATGGCCCCAAGGGAGGCTAGTCCACGTTCACCACACACGCATTCCTAGAAGTGGTTTTTAACGTAATCATTTAGGAATATTTTTGTAAATAATTTTCTGATTATCAAAACCATAATTACAGGATTTTAATTATTTTATGGATATGCAGGTTGAAGAGACTGGGTTTTGATGACTTTGATGGGGGAGGGAGGGAGGGAGAGAGAGAGAGAGAGAGAGATTGATTTAGTTTCTGAGGAGACAAACACTAGGGTTAAGAAGGATTAGAAGGCGATTTTCCTGCATTGAAATAGTTTTTTTTTTTTTTTTTGAGAAGGAGTTTCACTTTGTCGCCCAGGCTGGAGTGTAAGGGCATGATCTTGGCTCACTGAAACCTCTGTCTCCCGGGTTCAACCGATTCTCCTGCCTCAGCCTCCCAAGTAGCTGGGATTATAGGCACCCACCACCATGCCTGGCTAATTTTTGTATTTTTAATAGAGACGGGGGCTTCACCGTGTTGGCCAGGCTTGTCTTGACCTCCTGACCTCAGGTGATCCACCCAACTTAGCCTCCCAAAGTGCTGGGATTACAGGCATGAGCCACCGCTCCCGGCCTCTTGCACTGAAGTCCAAAGGCCAGAAGAACCCGGAGGCTTTCGGCGTTTCCGCCTTTGCCTTCCGATGTCCATTCCCATCTGAGCAGTCATTTCTGCTTAATTCCGCCATTACTTCCTCCCTTGATGCTTCTGAAACTGTCTCCTCAGCAGATGATCCCTGCATTAGTTGGCGGAGCTGATGGTGTTCCCTGTTTTACCCTGTGGTCTCATTTCCGGATGCTGCTACCAATGCCCGTCTCTATGGCTCCCTGCCCACGTGTGCAGCCCCGTCACTGAGAGGGAAGTGGCTGGAGAGGTGTCCAGATCATTGTGAATGAAGTCATCTGTGAAACCATGGGAGAGAGATTTGATATCTGCTTCCCTTTCAAATGAAAGGAAAAGAGTGGGGTGAGAGAGGGCGGCACTCCCCAGACAGGCCCTGACCACACCCTGGCCCCACGCCTCAGCAGAACAACTCTGAACCTCTATGGACTCACAGGGGCGAGGTCGGGGCAAGGAGACTCAGGGCCTGCGCTGCTCACCGGGTGAGAAGTCACAGCTGGTTAGGAGGCCACAGGTAAGCAGAGGTGCGAGCCACCAGGGACGGGGTGAGTTATTCACAGGTGAATGAGCTAGGACGAGGCAACAGCACGCAGGCCACGCCTCGCCAACCCATGGGTCCTCAACAGGATTTTGGTGACACGCAACACCCCTCTGGCTCCTGCTCTGATCCATGATGGTGAGGGAGGTTCCCACGGTCACGCGTGTGCTGGGATTCTGCTCTTTACGCCGTCCCCGGGCAACACAGACATCAGCTCTTCTCTCCTCCAGCTGAGCAAATGTAAGCTGTCCAGGAGAATCCATCCCAGCTGCTAACAAAATCTTCAGACGAGAGTCAGTCTGATTCGGAGTGGAATGAAATGAGCATTCGGCAATACCTCCGTGTGCCAGTGCAGCTGAGTTCTCGGTAAACACAATATTCCGAGGTGATACTGAGCTCTGCGTCCTCAGATTAAATGTATCTCCTTCTTAGATTTGCTCGTGCACTTTACGGCTTCTGCAAATGACAGCCTCGGCGCTGCAAAGTAATTCCACACTGTCATATTTGTCTTTGGAAATTGTAACAAATTATGGTGATTTATAACATCAAACTCAACTCCCATTTTTCCCCAGACGGCAATGTCGCTGATGGCGAGATTCCGGGCCATCCATTTATCCTGTGTGGAGGCTGACAGGGACGCATGCCTCATCTGCTGCCAAGACACTGGGTTCCCTTGAGGGGACTCTGTCGACATAACTCACCCTGTCCCGGGTGGCTCGCACCTCTGCTTACCTGTGGCCTCCTAACCAGCTGTGACTTCTCACCTGGTGAGCAGTGCAGGCCCTGAGTTCCCTTGCCCCGACCTCGCCCCTGTGAGTCCATAGAAGTTCAGAGTTGTTCTGCTGAGGCGTGGGGGCCAGGGTGTGGTCAGGGCCTGTCTGGGGAGTGCCGCCCTCTCTCGTCCCAGTCTTTTCCTTTCATTTGAAAGGGAGGCAGACATCAAATCTCTCTCCCATGGTTTCACAGATGACTTGGAATCCTGGCCTTTTAGGATAGAAAGAGAACACAGAGATCCCGGCCCATCAAGCAGGCCCCAGAAACATGGGCAGCAGCAGGAGAGTGCCCAAGCTCCTGGCAGGGTGGGTCCAACCCTGTGTCGTGCCCCTGATTCAGGCGTTGAAGCCTCAACTCCAGATGCTGGCATGAGGAGGTGGTTCCTGGGGAGGTGATTTGGGTTAGATGGGGTCCTGAGGGTGAGGCCCTCACGATTAGAAGAGAAAGAGACCGGGCTCTTGCTCTCTGCCACACGAGGACACAGAAAGCGCCATCTACAAGCCAGGAAGGGGCCTTCATGGCAATCCTAGTGGGCTGGATCTTGGTCTTTGGTTTCCAGCCTTGAGAACTGAGAAATAAACATTTATTGTTTAAACTAAACCACCAAATCTATGGTATTTTGTGATAGCAGCTGAGTGGGCTAAGACACCTTCCTCCCAGCACAGTGTCACCCAAAAACCTTGAGGCTTCTCCATCAGCAACGGACTGGGAAGGCAGGTCTGCACCTGCGTCTCCACGTTCCACTTCACATGTGGCATCTGGCACCGGACGGTGGCCGCCTCCTTTCAGATTACTCACGGCTCTAGAATCTAGCTTATATGTTTATTTTCTGAATGTTGTAACTAGGACTCTGGCTCTAGACAGGCAAAATGTTCCCAAGAAAAATGAGAAAATAAAAATTGCTCTTTTTCAATGGGGAAATTGTTCCCTATCTAATAAATGGTGCTGGGAAAACTGGCCAGCCGCAAGCAGAAAACTGAAATTGGACTCCTTCCTTTTACTTATACAAAAATTAACTTAAGATGGATTAAAGACTTAAATGTAAAACCCCAAACCATAAAAACCCTAGAAGAAAACCTAGGCAATGCCATTCAGGACATAGTCATGGGCAAAGACTTCATGACGAAAATGCCAAAAGCAATTGCAACAAAAGCCAAAATTGATAAATGGGATTGAATTAAACTAAAGAGCTTCTGCACAGCAAAAGAAACTATCCTCAGAGTGAACAGACAGCCTACAGAATGGGAGAAAAATTTTGCAAGCTACCCATCTGACAAAGGTCTAATATCCAGCCTCTATAAGGAACTTAAACAAATTTACAAGAAAAAAACAAACAACCCCGTCAAAAAGTCGGCCAAGGATATGAACAGACACTTCTCAAAAGAAGACATTTATGAGGCCAACAAACATATGAAAAAAGCTCACCATCACTGGTCATTAGAGAAATGCAAATCAAAACCACACTGAGATGCCATCTCATGCCAGTCAGAATGGCAATGATTAAAAAGTCAAGAAACAATAAATGCCAGTGAGGATGTGGAGAAATTGGAACACTTTTACACTGTTGGTGGGAATGTAAATTAGTTCAACAATTGCAGAAGACAGTGCAACAATTCCTCAAGGATCAAGAACCACAAATACCATTTGGCCCAGCAATCCCATTACTGGGTATATACCCAAAGGATTATAAATTATTCTACTATAAAGACACATGCACACGTATGTTTATTGCAGCACTGTTCACAATAGCAAAGACTTAGAACCAACCCAAATGCCCATCAATGATAGACTGAACAAAGAAAACATGGCATATATACAGCATGGAATACTATGCAGCCATAAAAAGGAAGGAGCTCATGTCCTTTGCAGGGAGATGGATGAAGCTGGAAACCATCATCCTCAGCAAACTAACACAGGAACAGAAAACCAAACACAGCATGTTCTCACTCAAAAGTGGGAGTTGAACAATGAGAACACATGGACACAGGGAGGGGAACATCACACACCGGGACCTGTCAGGGGGTGAGGGGTGAGGGGAGGGACAGCATTAGGACAAATACCTAATGCATGCCGGTCTTAAAACCTAGATGACAGGTCGACAGGTGCAGCAAACCCCCATGGCACATGTATACCTATGTAACAAACCTGCACGTTCTGCACATGTATCCTGGAACTTAGAGTAAAAAAGAAAAAGAATTGCTTTTTTTAAAAAATTGAAAGTTCAGAACTGCAAGCAGTAGCTCCTCCTAGAGCAAGGTGGTGAAGGGCTCAAGTTGGAGTGCTTCTGAGACACACACAGATGACACAGAGGCCTGGGGGATCTCCTTTAGAGGCTGGATGTACTGAGCACCTGCCTGCCTCCCTTCCCTTCCCTGTCAGGGCCAATGCCGTGTTCTTGCATGTGTCCAGAGAGCCTGGCAGTCTCTCCAGTGCCTGCGTTTGTGGCTGTGGCTGCAGGGGTCGCAGACCTCTGGGAAGGAGGGAGCCCGTGGGTCTGTGCCGGCTGGTGGGTGTCCCACAGGGGTCTTGATCTGGGACTGGCCAGACTGCGAAGCCCCTTCCAGAGCACAAGCCGGAGGGGTCTCCTCTGATCCCTCCTTCACCCTCTCCTCAATTTGCATTAGACACAGGGGATCCAGGAGTGAGACAGGACATCCCCAAGCATCTGGTAGACGAGAGAGAAGTGGGCAGCTGTGGCAGAGCCCAGTGTGAGTTATCTCAGAGGATCACGCGGCCCCCAGAGGACATGCTGGACGCACACCTGACCCAGACCTGCGGGAAGAGTGAGAGGCATGGAGGCCACAGGGCACTTGGAGGATGGGCATCACGTGGTGGACGGGGAGCGTTCTGCCCATGGACGTGGCCTGGGTGAGGGTATAGTAGGCTGAGGCCAGGCATGCCGAGGGGCTCGAGGTCCTTTAGTGCCACTAGAGGACGTCACAACGTCGGGGCCATGGGAGTCGAGGACAGGAACTCAGCAGAAATCAGGGCAGGAGAAGCCTCTGCTGCCCATGCCGCCTGACCCTGGCTGCTGCCGCATGCAGTGGACACTCAGTTCCACCCCTAGAGGGAGAGTGACAGGCTCTGCCTGCCCAGAAGTTCACACTGCACGGCATCCCATCCACCCTCACCGAGGCCTCTCTGCAGTCCTGTGGGTCTCAGAGGGTGCAGGCGTCATTCTCACGACAGGTGAGGGGTCTCAGGCCAGAGAGGGCAGAGACCTGCCTGGCTCCACACAGCATGCACGTCGGCCCTGGGATGTGAGTCTCTGCATCCTACAGCCAGAGTTTCCTCTAGGAGACTGTAGCGGAGGGGAGGCAAGGCCAGAGCGGGTATAACAGAAACTCCAGGGGCAGCACTCTGGGTTCAAAGCCGGCCTTAGGATGTAGCTGCTCTGGGATTATGCACCTTACTTAACATTTCCTGAATGCCTTGTCTCTCGTTTATTTATTTTTTGGTTCAGCAGTGCAACAGATGTGCTACCCACTTGCTAGTGAGCATGAAGGGGCCTGGAGTCCTTCTCTGCCTAAGCCTTGCAGGTGTTAGGCACTCACTCCACAGCGGCTGGTGCCATTTTCTCCATGCCATGGTCTGGTCTGATGCAAACCCATCGACCAGTGCTGTGTGCCTGGCTTCCAAGGCTACAGAAAGGGGACATTGGGCCTGTTGGTGTTGAAGTGCAAGTAACCTCTCCGGGACTAGGCTACCTATGGTGGTCTCATTTCTCTCAAACAGGAAATGAAACACAACTGGCAAGGTAGAGGGTACACCGGAAATTGGGGAGGCCCACCCATGGTGTTTGGAACCCTGAAGTTGCCCAGGAGAGCTAGTTATTGCCTTCACTTTGCGAGGGAATTTAAAGCGGCATGCTCCTGTTTGACAATTTTGCTTTTATTTACAGGGGCTGGATCAAACGTATATTTTATGTGATAAGTGGAAAGTGTCAAAATGAGCCACACATAAAGTGGTGACAAAATAATTCACTTCAATGAAATTACATAATGTAAAACAAAATCTTAGAAACAGCCCCCGTTAAATATGATTTGCATGCAACATAACATTATACAATTTTTGACACTCTGCAAAGAGGTATTGGGTCGGAAGTAGCTATGTTTAGAAGGCAATTTGCAGAATTTCTGTTCTTTTAGTGGTTTGAAAGCAGTGATAATTTTTTTTTTCTTTTGGTGGTTGACAAGTGAACAAAAACCAATAATTGAATAGCACCATTTTACCCAGAAGGCAAGCTGATAATTAGAGGTGTAAGAGACAGTTTGGATTTTATCTGAATCGTGGCAGCTCTGACTTGTTTTTAAAATCTGGGAACCAAATCAAGGCCCCGATTCTCAACAATATAAGAAGAAAACAGGATTTTATTTGCAGTTGCTCGTTCTTGGCTGACACATGTGTTTTGGTCCCTAAAGGGCAGCCCGTGGGTCCTGAGATGAGCAAGTCCACATCTGATTTAGGAAATGAAGAGTTTCTCGGTGGCCAACGTGGTCAGGAGGAGAATGAAAATAAACTCAGTCTATGCCACCGAGGGCACGTCAGGCAACAGCCCCCGCCCTCCTGGTCTGGCTGCCTCAAGGAATGTTCCAGGGCACGTGAGTCTCACCTGCGGCCTTAGAAGGTAGCACCCCACTCAGACGCAATTTGAACCCCATGATCACAGCCGCCCAGACCCCACTCAGACGTAGTTCAGACCCTGGATCACAGCCGCCCAGACCCCACTCAGACGTAGTTCAGACCCTGGATCACAGCCGTCCAGACCCCACTCAGATGTAGTTCAGACCCTGGATCCGTCCAGACCCCACTCAGACGCAGTTCGGACCCTGGATCACAGCCGTCCAGACCCCACTCAGACGCAGTTTGGACCCTGGATCACAGCCGTCCAGACCCCACTCAGACGCAGTTCGGACTCTGGATCCGTCCAGATCCCACTCAGACGTAGTTCAGACCCTGGATCACAGCCATCCAGACCCCACTCAGATGTAGTTCAGACCCTGGATCACAGCCATCCAGACCCCACTCAGATGTAGTTCAGACCCTGGATCCGTCCAGACCCCACTCAGACGTAGTTCAGACCCTGGATCACAGCCGTCCAGACCCCACTCAGATGTAGTTCAGACCCTGGATCCGTCCAGACCCCACTCAGACGCAGTTCAGACCCTGGATCACAGCCGTCCAGACTCCACTCAGACTCAGTTCAGACCCTGGATCACAGCCGTCCAGACCCCACTCAGACGCAGTTCAGACCCTGGATCACAGCCGCCCAGACCCCACTCAGATGTAGTTCAGACCCTGGATCACAGCCGTCCAGACCCCACTCAGACGCAGTTCAGACCCTGGATCACAGCCGTCCAGACCCCACTCACACTCAGTTCAGACCCTGGATCACAGCCGCCCAGACCCCACTCAGACGCAGTTCAGACCCTGGATCACAGCCGCCCAGACCCCACTCAGACGCAGTTCAGACCCTGGATCACAGCCGCCCAGACCCCACTCAGACGCAGTTCAGACCCTGGATCACAGCCGTCCAGACCCCACTCAGACGCAGTTCGGACCCTGGATCACAGCCGCCCAGACCCCACTCAGACGCAGTTCAGACCCTGGATCCGTCCAGACCCCACTCAGACGCAGTTCGGACCCTGGATCACAGCCGTCCAGACCCCACTCAGACGCAGTTCAGACCCTGGATCACAGCCGTCCAGACCCCACTCAGACGCAGTTCGGACCCTGGATCACAGCCGTCCAGACCCCACTCAGACGCAGTTCGGACCCTGGATCACAGCCGCCCAGACCCCACTCAGACGCAGTTCAGACCCTGGATCCGTCCAGACCCCACTCAGACGCAGTTCGGACCCTGGATCACAGCCGCCCAGACCCCACTCAGACGCAGTTCAGACCCTGGATCCGTCCAGACCCCACTCAGACGTAGTTCAGACCCTGGATCACAGCCGTCCAGACCCCACTCAGACGCAGTTCGGACCCTGGATCACAGCCGCCCAGACCGCACTCAGATGTAGTTCAGACCCTGGATCACAGCCGTCCAGACCCCACTCAGACGCAGTTCAGACCCTGGATCACAGCCGCCCAGACCGCACTCAGATGTAGTTCAGACCCTGGATCACAGCCGTCCAGACCCCACTCAGACGCAGTTCAGACCCTGGATCACAGCCGTCCAGACTCCACTCAGACGTAGTTCAGACCCTGGATCACAGCCGTCCAGACCCCACTCAGACTCAGTTCAGACCCTGGATCCGTCCAGACCCCACTCACACTCAGTTCAGACCCTGGATCACAGCCGCCCAGACCCCACTCAGACGCAGTTCAGACCCTGGATCACAGCCGTCCAGACCCCACTCAGACGTAGTTCAGACCCTGGATCACAGCCGCCCAGACCACACTCAGATATAGTTCAGACCCTGGATCACAGCCGTCCAGACCCCACTCAGACGCAGTTCAGACCCTGGATCACAGCCGCCCAGACCGCACTCAGATGTAGTTCAGACCCTGGATCACAGCCGTCCAGACCCCACTCAGACGCAGTTCAGACCCTGGATCACAGCCGTCCAGACTCCACTCAGACTCAGTTCAGACCCTGGATCACAGCCGTCCAGACCCCACTCAGACGCAGTTCAGACCCTGGATCACAGCCGCCCAGACCGCACTCAGATGTAGTTCAGACCCTGGATCACAGCCGTCCAGACCCCACTCAGACGCAGTTCAGACCCTGGATCACAGCCGTCCAGACCCCACTCAGACGCAGTTCGGACCCTGGATCACAGCCGTCCAGACCCCACTCAGACGCAGTTCGGACCCTGGATCACAGCCGCCCAGACCCCACTCAGACGCAGTTCAGACCCTGGATCACAGCCGTCCAGACCCCACTCAGACGCAGTTCGGACCCTGGATCACAGCCGTCCAGACCCCACTCAGACGCAGTTCGGACCCCGGATCACAGCCGCCCAGACCCCACTCAGACGCAGTTCAGACCCTGGATCACAGCCGCCCAGACCCCACTCAGACGCAGTTCAGACCCTGGATCACAGCCGCCCAGACCCCACTCAGATGTAGTTCAGACCCTGGATCACAGCCGCCCAGACCCCACTCAGATGTAGTTCAGACCCTGGATCACAGCCGTCCAGACCCCACTCAGACGCAGTTGGGACCCTGGATCACAGCTGTCCGTCCGCCCGAGCAGATTCTTGTCCAGGTGTTTTTCCACTTGCAGCTCCGCGCTGGGCAGCTTCAGGCCTGTTACAGCGACGGTGCGGCTTCCCTGCCTGGGTTGTTGGGACGGAAGGGATTCCACCCTGGGGCGGTGTGGGGTGGCTTCCCTGCTCTCCCTGCTCTCTGCGTTCCCACGGTGCAGGATGGCGGCGTTGAGAGCCAGAAACGAAACCCTGAGAAGCAGAAGCCGGGCGTCCTGCCCGCCCTCCTCTACCAGGCCTCATCTGGAGGGCTGCGCCAGGTCCTTCCAACTTCAAAGAGTTGCCTGTGAAGGGCGTCCTCCAGGTGGGTCTGCAGTGCAGTCAAGGCCTCCTGCAATTAATATGCTGGGAACACATTTTAAATAGCTCCCTCCTCCCTTGAATAGCAGACGGGGACAACAAGCCTGTTATTCAGTATTCCATTTTTGATAGCTCATTGTATCTAAAAAGAGATCAATTAAAGCTCTCAGAAAGCTCTCCAGCTTAATTGAAGGACAATTTAGACATTGCAGTAACGGCAGATCTGCCGTCCATTGCCGCATTTATTCGGGCTGGGAGCTATTGGCGTCTCCCACACACCCTCGCAGATGAAGAGATTTCAACTGGAAAGGAAACGCTACCATCAGAGGAAAGATAAATTGTCACCAACTTCATTCTTCAACGGATAAAGGGAGCTTTGGAAATAAAAAATAGACCCGAACCATGATGTGGTGGAATTATCTGTGCCTGTGCTCTCCTGAGCAGCCGGGCCTGCGTTCCTTCTTCTTCCCTGTGAAGGGGCAGCGCTGGGCCCGCTTATTAGTGCAACAGCAAAGACTCATTAAGTTTACAGCCCGCCCGTGACGTGAGGCAGCTCTGGCCAGAAATCTCAAGTTCATCCCATCAAGTCAATTTTGTCTGTATTTTAAGAACTTATCTCTTGCAAAATGGGACCTTAACATGTTTGTGATGGTCCACAGATAGCTCTTACTGAAAGCGAGAATGGCAGGTGACCAAAAAAAAAAAAAAACAAACAAAAAAAAAAACACACAAAATGGTGACCTCAGGGACGTGATGAAAGGGCAATGATGACTTCACTGTGTGTTTTCCTGACCGTGGAGTAGAGCCGTCCCAGGCAGACTCTCTGGGCCCTGCTCAGGACGGTCATGAAACCCCATGCTCTTGTTATGTGAATATTGAAAGCAACGCCAGGGTCTGGGAGGGCAGTGGGATGAGCCTGGCCTGGGGCAGGTGGCACCAGGGCTGCTGAGTTTCCAGGGGCACTGGCTGGTGAGTGGCCACAGCCCCTCCCGTTGGTCACCACCTGGTGGGCAGCAGCATGAAGCCCCCGGGGGTGCGGAGTGTTGGGCTGTGTGCCACCTTCGGGGGCTCTGATGAGCAGCTCCACTCCTTGGCCCAGGGCAGGCTTCTCAGGAGCAGGCTTGGGGGTCTGTGGCTTTTCACACGGGACGTGGACTAGCTGCTTGCCTGAGAGACCACCCTTCTGGATTCCAGAGGACCCAGCCAGAGTCGTCACGGCAGGGTCTGCAGGGTTGGAGAAGGCTCTGTTGGGGCCGGGCACAGCAGGTGGTGGCAGGAGGATAATGCCGGGGCCTGGACAGGGGGTACAGGGGCGGGAATGGATGCACAGGTACAGACCCTGCTCTTACGTCTAGGAGGCGGGTATAGTCAATGCGATGTGTAATGTGTACATACAGTGTGAAATGTATGTAGCATGTAAAGTACACATAATAAAGTTTATATGATTTGTAAAGTACAAATGCTATGTCAAGTGTACATACCACATAAAGTCTATATAACATGTAGGGTGTATATGATATGTAAAGAGTATGTAATATGTCAAGTAAACAAAATACGTATGGTCTATATAATTCAAAGTGTCTACATTATATATAAAGTCTACATATTAGGTAAAGTCTATATAATATGTGAAGTCTATAATAGCAAAGTATACACACACACACACACACACACACACACAATGTCCCTTGCAGCAGGAATGTGGATGGTCCCTGGGAAGTCTGGTAGGCTTGGTGAACTGACTTTTGCTGAGCACCCAGTAACAGGAGTTGAAATACCAGCTCCATCTCTCCACTTGTCTCACAGCTGCTGGCCTTGGCATTCTGAGCCTCTGTGTCATGCGGTGCCACTTCATTCTGAAGAGTGTGTAGCACAGTGCAGCCATGGCTCCATGCTTCCTAACGAGTATTGATCCCACTAGGGAATATTTTCAGAACCAGATACAGTGGGTGCAATTCACACCAGCATCCTTCTCTGGAAGACTAGCTACATCTTGCACTTTTCTTCCATTTTCTATCTTTCTTATGTTTAAAGATAGTTCAAAATAATTAAAATCAGTGTGATCTGAACATTTGGGGGATGTTTGTAACAGTAAACCATAGATTCTCTGGGATATAAGATAAAGGAAAACAAGTAGAACAGAAATGAGAATGGATTTCCTTGTACACAAAGTTAGAAGAGAGTTTCAGTGAGCTCCCGCGGGCAGTGACCTTGACTGCGAATTTTGTCTCTTCCCTGACTTTTTCCTCCCCTTCCTCCCCTTCCCTTAAGGAAGATGGCCTCGGTTAGCCAGGAAGGGTCCTCGTGGAGCTCTGGGAATGCTGTGGCCTTAGCAGCCAAGGGGTATTACCTGTTCGTGGGTGTGGGCAGCCTTGGCAGGGATGGCAAAGGGGCCTATGGTGACTGTGCTGCACTCCATGAAAAGCAACAAGGAAGCCCCAAGGTCAGCAGAGGCAGAAGCGCAGTGAGGGCGCACGGGGCATGTAGTCAGTGCCCTGCACTCTCTAGTGTTGGGAGCAGTCAGCAGAACGGCCAGTGCTAGTGGGCAGGATGAGGGAGGCTGCAGGGAGCACAGATTTCAAACTGACCCAACAGTCCCATAGCTTTTTGAAATGAACAGAGAAATGGACCCTTCTGGTCTTAAAGCTTGAAAATTACATTTGCTTTATCTGAGTTTCTTCCTCAGGAAATGACCCTTAGTCCTTTAAAAAAAAAAAGAAAGCACCAAGGAGCTGAAACTCACCAGATCACTGCATCGGAAGAGCAAGACACCAGCCCCTTGCCTGCCTTGACTGCCTTTGTGACCACCTGCTGCCTGTTGACTGATGGCTCCCCCTAACTCTCCCTGGTTCCTGTTTTCCCACACATGGTTACATTTCTTCCCTGCTACGTGAACTCCCGATTTTAGTCGGTCCAGGAGATGGATTTGAGACTGAGCTCTCCTCTCCTCTGCGTCAGCAGTACTCGTGGTCCCAGTGATTGGCTTTCCGTGCAGAGAGCAGCAGGATGTAGGTCAAAACCCTGGTGTTTCGGCAACAGGTTCCTGCACTTACAGACCGGCCTCCACGGGGTGGGAAGGCTCTCCCGTGCTTCCGTTACCACTGTTGACCAGCTCTAAAATTACCACCTGCAACTCGCAGTGAAAAATTCTGCCTGTCTGTCCTGCTCCTGACTTTGAGGAGAAATGGTGAGGAGATGGGGACACAGCCTGGGGACACTGTGGCTCTCCAATCACAACACTGCCACCACAAGTCACTGGAGAAGGGGCAGCAACTCTCCGTGTCCTGGGTCTCATCTGAGACAAGAGTGCCACCCTGTACCAGGCATCTCTTGCCCCTTAAGGCAGATGCTAAAGCCTTTGCAGAAAGGCCACGTCCCGGCTGGAGGATGGTAATGATGTTTAGGAGATCACAGCTGGGCAAAGGGTGAAAACAACGCTGGGAGGTCGAAAGGCTGCAGAACCCATTACCCATCTCCCGATAGCCATTCCGATGGAAGGCCCTGACAAACGACTCCCTGCAAAGCCGGATAAGCCCTCTGCATCCATCGGCTAATGCCAGGCAAGGCGGGAATGCGATGAGGGCTGGCTGGAGGCAGGGCTGCCAGGAAGGGAGGGTCTGTGAAGTGCGAACACACTCACTGGTTTTGGGGAAAGGGTGAACAACCCAGTGAGCACTGCATGTTAGGAACAGGTCAGTAAACACAGCCTGGCAGGAGCAGACAGAAGCCATTCGTCGAGAGCGGGACGCGGGTGGGAGGCCTTGGCTACACAGACACAGGACCTGAAGATAAGATACTGTGGCCTGTCGGTCACCACTCTGTGTGCATAGCAGTGCAGGTGACATCATTACCTTTGGGGAAACTGGGAGAGATGCTGCGCAGGTGTATACACTGTGGGGAGGGGGAGAGAGGCTGTGCAAGTCTATGCACTGTGTTGGGGGCAGAGGCTGCACTGGCGTATGCACTGTGGGGAGGGGGAGAGAGGCTGTGCAAATCTATGTACTGTGTTGGGGGAGAGAGAGGCTGTGCAGGTGTATACACTGTGGGGAGGGAGAGAGGCTGTGCAGGTCTATGTACTGTGTTGGGGGGAGAGGCTGCACTGGCGTATGCACTATGGGGAGGGGGAGAGAGGCTGTGCAAGTCTATGCACTGTGTTGGGGGGAGAGGCTGCACTGGCGTATGCACTGTGGGGAGGGGGAGAGAGGCTGTGCAAGTCTATGTACTGTGTTGTGGGGGAGTGGCTGCACTGGTGTATACACTGTGGGGAGGGGGAGAGAGGCTGTGCAAGTCTATGCACTGTGTTGAGGGGAGAGGCTGCACTGGCGTATGCACTGTGGGGAGGGGGAGAGAGGCTGTGCAAGTCTATGCACTGTGTTGGGGGCAGAGGCTGCACTGGCGTATGCACTGTGGGGAGGGGGAGAGAGGCTGTGCAAGTCTACGCACTGTGTTGGGGGGAGAGGCTGCACTGGTGTATACACTGTGGGGAGGGGGCAAGAGGCTGCACAGGTGTATACACTGTGGGGAGGGGGAGATAGGCATTGGTTTGTCATTGCAGGACTGATCTGAAGGCCAGAGCCAAGACTCAGGGCAGGGCTGTTGGGAGGCCCCTGACAGGCCTGGGAAGGCCTTGCCTGGTCACAGTGTTTTGTGGGCCTGAGGATTCAGGACACGTGGTACTTGCTTGACCATATAGTTTATTTTAATAATGGAATTATAGAGAATTTCTGTTTTCCCTCTGGGAGGCTGGAGTCTGAGCTGCTGTGGTCTGTCACACAGACACTGCCTCCCTAAGTGACTGACCCTCAATAAAAACCTTGGACGCCGAAGCTCAGGTGAACTTTCCCAGCTGAACCTTGGACCCGGAGGCTCAGGTGAGTTTTCCAGCTGGTGTCATTGCACACATTATCACCATCATTTCTGGGGGAACTAAGCCCATTCCCGCAACTCACTGGGCAAGGATGTCTGGAGGCAAATGCCTGGATTCTCCTTGTTGTCACCCAGGCTCCCCTCCCTTCGCTGGTGACAATTTGTGGACTTTCACAATGTTAAACAATGGCTGCTGGTGCGCCAGCCCTACCCAGTGAGTACCAGTGAGTACAGAGCCTGAGGGGGGTTTCGGGGACCCCCGGCATAGCCAAAGACCCCTTCACTGACATGGTGAATACACTGTGTAGGTCCAGAGACAGTGATGACAAACTAAGTTTCACAGACTTTGAATTTGGGAAGGCCAGTGAGATATCGCAGCCAAGATACCCCAGAGGCAGTGGAGCAGGGTGAATAAAGTCTCACTAGAGGGTCAGATTTGGCAAATGCGTGGGTTGCAGTTGAAGCCACAGATGTGAATTGCCGTCCAGTAAGTGTAGGGGGAGTAAAGATCTAGGATAAGGAGAGAAAGAGAAACTGGCACTGACAGAAAGAAACAGGAAGAGAAAAAGCTGACAGAAACTACATGGAACCTACCACACTCAAGGGAGGTTGGCTAATGGTGTCACGTGATGCCAGGACACCTGGCGAGTTAGGAACCTGGGAAGAGTTATTTTGTGACCTGGGCTGACAGTTTTATTAAAAGGGACAAGTGAGTGGCCAGAGTGTGAGGGGCCGAGGCAGGCCTGGCAGGAATGAGGGTGGGCTGTTAAGGTGATCTGGCTGGGCCACAGGGGCGGGGGAGAGAGGCGTTGGTTTGTCATTGTTCTTGAATTAAGCATGTTGAGTTGCCAACTACAAGATGCTAAAAGAGAGGGAGAATCTGAAGACGTCTGAGGGGAACTGCAGCCGGGTTTCAGTACAGGGTGGGAGCAGAGGCTGGCGTCCGGTACACGGAGTTCGAAACACTAGGGGGGAATCACTTTAGCTGGGGGGTCCCCTCCTCTCTCACTGAAAGGTGGAGTGGGGTGGGGCGTGGAGCTGGGGGGGTCCCCTCCTCTCATTGAAAGGCGGAGTGGGGTGAGGCATGGAGCAGACATGGCTGAGTGTGTAAGTTGGAACTCAGCAGGCAAACAAGTTTCCTCAAAAAAATTCGACTGTCTCTGTTTAGCAGGGACACAAGGCGCTCTTTTTGAAAGCCCTGGGAGTGGATGGATTGTGATTCATCTTTGTTATTTGATTATTCCAAAGGTATATTTGTGGGAGAAATGCAGGAAGGAAGGAGGGAGACGGGAGGAGGGTGCAGGGGTGAGCAGGGTGCCCGGGGTTGGTGTTTCCACCCAGTGGCATGGATTTGTCCTGATTGTGCTAAGAGAAGACGCTGCCTCCTTTTCTTCCTCCGAGACCCACGCATGGTCAAACAGTTTAAATAAGAGGCGAACGCAATGCAGAGCACGGCACTGAGAGAGCTGCGTAAGAGAGAACGCAATGCACTCTTCCTCCTCATTGTCACAGAGTTGGCCAAACCCATTGTCCCCATCCTCTAGACTCCAAAACCGATGCCCTGGAAAGGCAGGAGATATCACAGGGTGCCCAGCGGGACAACCCGATCCCTGTTCAAGCGTGGGAACCACCCCAGACCCTTCCTTCCAGCCAACTGCGATCCCGGAGAGACGGCAGCCAGGAGAGCCTCTCACCCCCTCTCCTGGGTGCTGGGTCTGCAGCGTGAGATTAGATGGAGCTCTCTGTGCCCATCCAGGAAGCCTTGAGTTTCTGTTAATATGCAATACAAGCTTACAATAGAGGGAATCCCTCCAAAACACAACACACCATATTGTTTATAAGAGGCTACCAGGGACTGAAAAGTAAACACAAAAAGACAAACAAAGTCTTCCCTACACCCAGCAGGGCCAAAGAGATTTTTCCCTCTTTCCAATAAGCTCTGAGAAATGGGGTCCCTGCTCCCCACACCACAGCCCACACCTGGAACCCCTCCCCGCTGCAGGCTGCCCGGCCACCTGCTCCACTGTACTCGGAAAACACACAACTACATTTTGTTTGTTTTCCTCTCTGGGCCTCTGATCGAATTTTTAAGCACCTCCTTGTTGCTTTATTCTCCCTGAATTTCCTGGAAGTGCTAACCTCAAAGTACCACGGAAAATGCCTTCCTAGAGTACCTTTGGCCTGACACGGCGAACAGCAGCTATTTTCTGAGAAAGCTCATTCTTTGGAGAGTCTCAGTGTAATTGCACTGATTGTGCTGGCTCTGGAAACCTCAGAGCCACCATAGGTCTTTGAAAACCAACGAATATGAGTCAACACATTTTTGCAGCTAATGACGCTCTCTAGTTGATGAAAGCCGATGGCCCACATGGCCCAATTTACCACGATTTACTGGAGATATAAATGGCATGAACCTCAGGCCCCTTCAGGGAGGTTGCAGCCACACAGACCGACACTGGAGAGGTTTTAGTGTAATGCAGTCTCATGGCTTTGGAGTGAAAGGAACTGATTTTGGAATTTGTTAGGGTCGTGGGAGCTAGAAGAGATTTGGAGACCAGTAGATACCTCTGTTGTACAGACAAGAAAGCCACAACCCCGAGTGCTTAGTCATTTGGCAAGAGTGAAGGTGAAGAGATGGTAGATCTAGAATGCAGAGTCTCCGCCTAACGGTCCCCGCGCTTCCCAGGCCGCCGTGCGAGCCCTGTTTGTGCCGCAACAGGAAGAATGGTGTGGAGTTCGGAGACTAAAGGTGCACTGTGCTTTTAAAATAAAAAGGACGGCAGAAAAGGGGCTGTTCTGGGCTGTATTCGGCCCTGTCAAAATTCACACGTGGAAACCCTGACTCCCAGGACCTCAGAAGGTGACAGTGTTTGGAGATGGTGTCCTTACAGAGCTGATGAAGATAAATGAAGTCATATGACTGGACCCTGGTCCAACCTGCCTGGTGTCCTTATAAGAAGAGGAGATGAGGACACAGACACACACAGAAGGAGGACCCTGTGAGGACACAGAGAGAAGACGCCATCTGCAAGCCATGGAGAGGCCTCAGGAGGAACCAGGCCCCTGGACACCTTGATCTCGGGTTTCCAGCCTCTCTGACTGTGACAACGTGAATGTCTATTATTGAAGCCACCTGGGCTGTGGTCTTATGACAGCCCCAGGAAACTTATAGGAGCCAGCTAAATTATTCTCCACTTGCTTAAGAGAGGAAAACCTGTTGTCCGGGCTGCCACAGTGGTAAAGTCCTTCTCACCTTCACCCAGACAGTTTCTCAATGATCCAGAAGATGCAAAAGAGGCAGGCTCGAGCAGGACTGCACTGCCAGGAGCAGGCCTCACACTTTCCCTTCCTGGGCGGCTGTCCCTCTGCCCGCCCTTCCTGCCATCCCTCTATTGTAGAACTGGTAAAACTTCCATTATTATTTTTAAAGCAAAAATAAAATAATTTTAAGGTCTTTCTTCCAATGACATCTCACCTGGTAACCCAGAAATGAAACAAGAAAACAGAGGGAGCACCTGAGGCGCCAGGGCCTGGGATTGGCTCCAAAATCCCCTTCCTGCCCCTCTGGTGGCCGATGGGCCCCAGGTCCAGCGATGGCCAAATCGAAGGTCCTGCCGGGCTTCCGGCTCTGAATGTCTCCGGGACACAATGTACCAAATAGACAGGTGCTCTGAGAAGTGAGGGCTGAGCTGGGCTTGTCAGAATGTGCTGGGAAAGGCAGACAGAATGGGACTGACTGGCCTTTATACTGCAGACATGGAGTCCTGGCCTCAGGAGGGGCAGCGTGGCCACCCCAGGGGGGCGGAGTGAGGTGAGTGAGGCTGAGCGGCTCCAGGTGGCCTCCTGCGTGGAGGCCAAGCCCTCCTCCCGCATGTGGCCTGAGCCTCCTCCCTCGCAGCCGATCACAGAACCATACAGTCCCAATCCTGCCACCAAGTCATTATCAATCAGGGGTTAAAGGCTGCTCCTGGCCACTCCCACTCCGAGCAGGTGGCTCTGCAGCCCCCAGGATGCCCATGGGGGGAGCTGGCCTGGGGCCAGGAGCCTTTCCTTTGCAGCTCATGGACTGCACTCCAGGGCAGCTGTGGCCTGTGCCGTGTAAGTGGATACAGCCTCGGGTTTCACTGCACGCTCCCTCCTCTCTGGCTAGTTTGGGGCCCTGTCCTTGGGGCATTAGGGGCATGAAATGCCTGCAGACCCACGGGTGATGCCTTTTAGAGAGTGGGTGAAGAGAAGTGGGAGGCACAGCCCCAGTGCTCACCCCAGGGGGCCGGAGGGAGCAGGATCTGTGTGTTCACCCCACAGTGGCTCCAGAGAACATGGGCGGCTGTCCTGCCTGGCACTCAGTGAGGGGCTGCCAAGGTCGGCTTCAGGGAACAGTCAATCAACACATCTACTGGGGACAGGAGGAGGGAGGGAAGGGGAGAAGAGGGCGTGAAGAGCCTTTTTCTGGCCTGGTCCTGCCCGGCACTCAGCGAGGGGCTGCCAAGGTCGGCTTCAGGGAACAGTCAATCAACACATCTATTGGCGACAGGAGGAGGGAGGGAAGGGGAGAGGAGGGAGGGAAGGGGAGAGAAGGGCTTGAAGAGTGGCCCTGGAGTCAGAGAGCACCTTCCTCTGGCCTGGTCCTGCCGGACACTCACCCCTGGCGGAAATGGAATGGATCCTTGTGGTCTTGGCAGGTATTTTATTGGCCTAGATTTTCTGTATGTTTTGGTTTTTACCTCCTGTGGAACGGAACCCTTAATTAATTCGTTTAGTCACTCATTCAGCAAATGTTTGTCAGGATCTTTGAGGCAGAAACTGTATGTCACCCCCATGGTCTGTGCCCAGTCACTGTGGGAACATCCTGGGACATGGGGGGAGAGCAGTGTCACCCGCAGCTCCCTGCCGGAGACCCTGCCCCATTGCTGGGAGCACCGCGTCCTCGCAGCCCAGGCCAGCACCATCTCTGAATGCTACCAGACACCAGGTGGCTCATAACATTGGGAAATGACTGTTTTAATCGTTAATTACCAAAAAAATGTCACTGTGCTGGTACAATATATGCGGTGATTTCTGTCATAAATTGACATCTGTAAGTCATAAATTGCTTAGTTTTAGCTGCTTTTAATGGCTGAATTTTCCCAAGCTACATGGTGCACACATTTTGGATCAAGTTCAAACTCTTCTGGCACCGGGCGCCTTCTGGGAACTGGCATGGACGAGGCAGGCAGCGGATTCTGACGGCGTCAGCAGCGCGAGAGGCACCCGACCTCTCACTAAAACGTTTGGCCTGCTCCCAGGAAGAGGCTTCCATGGAAAGCCAGAAGACCCTTTAATCAGAGAAGATTCTAGCCGGTCTCAAAGGAAGGATGCAGTTTGCGCCGTCGAAAATGGAAATCAAAGGAACGCGATGCTCTAACGGACTCGAGGAGGCCGGCTCCGTCTTGGCATTGTTCAGAAACATCCCGGCTTCTTCTCTGTTTGATTTCCAACAGGTTATTCCCAGAGGAACCACAGTCCTTTCTACCCAGAAGCCTAAAAATACATGCTTTTGAGAGCACTGCCAGAGTAGGTTAAGAATAAAGAAGGCGTTTGGAGCGCAGGCAGAAGACACTTGTGCTCTTCTAAGCGCAGCGACCGTGGCAGGAATAACGAGCTACAGAGGCCACACCCGCACACGGGAAACGCATTTCCCATCGCCCCAAACACAAACCCTGCACCTCTGGCCTGTAAAGGAAGTCCAGGCTCACTTAGAACCGGTAGAATTCTAAAATTACACAAATCAGCAGAGGAGGCCTGTAAACCGGAGTCCAGAAAGTCGGCTGGTGGAGGCTGTGCAGGGTTGGAACCTGCCCCCAGCGCTCAGCTCTGCTCCGTCCTCTCAGGGGGCCTGGGTCCCACAGCCCAGGGCAGAGACAGAATCTGGGGTCTGAGTCCCCCTGGGTCCCCCAGGCTCATCTCAGCGGCCCTATTTCTCTTTCCCCACCCATCTGCAGGGCAGGCCCTGGTTCTGTCTCCGGGTGGCCTGTGCCCTAGGCTCTGGGCTTCTTACTCAGCTACTCAGCTCTCCAGCATCCACCCAGCCAGGGGCAGGGGTGGGCCTGTGGCTTCCTCATCCCTGGCTGTTTTCGTGGGGCTCCCAGTCCTTCCCTGGCCCATGGAATCATCTCCTAGGATTAAATTCCCTCTGGTTTAAACGCAGAGAGTCATTTTGTTCTCACGGTTGGGCTGTCACAGAACCATCAATGAATGCTGTCTCTTCCCTGGTGTATGCTGGAGATTAAAACTTCACTTAAAAACACACCAAGAACCTCTGCCCCGGTCTCCACTGTCCCCCAGCCAGCATCCCCCCAAGTTCTGCTGGTGACGCTGAAGCACAACTTTCTTCCCCCGGGGGAGGTGACTTCAGGGCACAGATGGCTTCCCTTCATTCTCCTGCTTTCCCCACAGCCCCCAACGGTACTTCAGTTATTGTGGGCATCAGTAGGTCCTTTCCGATTTCAAGCAACATGTGTGTCCTGGGCCTGTTTTGCCTCTTATTTCTAGGATAGCTTTGTTTACACTACTAAAAAGGTATTTTTAAACATTTAACTTCAACTTTTCTTGTGGGTTCAGGAGGTACGTGTGCAGGTTGTTACCGGGGTATACTGTGTGACGCTGAGGTTTGGGATATGAACGATCTCGTGCCCCAGGTAGTGAGCATAGAACCCAATAGTTTTTCAACCCTGTCCCCCTGCCCCCTCCCAGGGTCCATTGCTCCCATCTTTATATCCGTGAGTATCCAATGTTTACCTCCCACTTACGGATCAGAACATGCACTATTTGTTTTTCTGTTTCTGCATTAATTTTCTTAGGATAATGGCCTCTAGAGGCATCCATGTTTTGGCAAAGGACACGATTTCATTCTTTTTGTATGGCTGCATAGTGTTCCATGGTGTCAATGTGCCACATTTTCTTTATCCAGTTCACCGCTCATGGACACCTAGGCTGATTCCATATCTTTGCTGTTGTGAATGAACACGGGACTGCATGTTGCCTTTGTGGTAGGATGATTTACTTTCTTTCGGATATATATCCCAGTAATCGGACAGCTGACTCAAATGGCAGTTGTCTTAAGTTCCTTGAGAAATCTCCAAATTGCTTCCCACAGTGGCTGAGCGAATTTACATTTCTACCAACAGCGAATAAGTGTTCCCTTTTCTCTGCAACCTCACAAGCATCTTATTTTTTGACTTTTTAATAATTGAAAAGGCATATATCTTAAATACAATTTGAAGCTCAATCATCCTTCGTAAGAGAAGTGGGGGCTAATGAAGTTTCAGGGAACTCATGTCCTGTGGTTTCTTGAAGTGTGAGAAGTTTGACTGCAGGGACCGTGAGTGAGTGTGCTCTTGATAAAAATGAAGGATGGACCGGGGCTTCATTAAGAAACTGTGTCCCTGTGTCAGGTATGCGAGACTACAAGGCAGAGCTGAGGGCCTTATGAAAACATATATGGGCCGGGCGCGGTGGCTCATGCCTGTAATCCCAGCACTTTGGAAGGCCGAGGTGGTTGGATCACCTGAGGTCAGGAGTTCGAGATCAGCCTGGCCAACATGGTGAAACCCTGTCTCTACTAAAAATACAAAAATTAGCCAGGTGTGATGGCGTGCGCCTGTAACCCCAGCTACTCGGCAGGCTGAGGCAAGAGAATTGCTTGAACATGGGAGATGGAGGTTGCAGTGAGCCGAGATCACACCACTGCACTCCAGCCTGGGTGACAGAGTGAGAATCTGTCTCAAAAAACAAAACAAAACAAAAAACTGAAAACATACATGTTGTGCATGTTAATGAAAGAATGGGGAAACATTTGAACATAAGAAATTGTGTTTTTCTTTGTCTGTCTTTCATATATTCTGAATTATCAGCTCTTAGAGATTAGGGTCTGGAATCCTTCAATTCCTCACACTGTTTAATATGATGCTCAAGTGACGAAATTCCCAGGATGAGGGGGCACCTTCCCGTGGCTGGGAAACGAGGACACGGCTTCAGGGCTCCATGGCTTCCTTTCCTCTTCACCCCACCAAGAGCACCTTCAAAGAAAGCCTTCCTCTCAAACAAAAAGTCTTTTTTTTTTTTTTTAAATTTCTTTACTGGGGGACAAATCCCTTTGCTTGAGGGGGTTCTATAAGAGGAAGGGGATAGATGCATTGTGTAGGAAATCTTGGATTTGTGTTTCCACTTTTCTTGGTGAAGCAATTCCCAACTCTACCCTGTGCCGATTCCAGAGTCCTGCCAGCAAAAATGCTCTACGTCTTCCTCCTTGTCTCTAAATATTCCCTTCCCTCTTACTCCCTGCTGGTGCTTCGCAAACTTTGCTGTGCATTCGAATCACCTGGGATCTTATTAACTGGAGATTTCGACTCCATGGTCTGGGGAGGGCCTGAGCATTTGCTTTTTTCTGTCTCTTTTGCAGCTGTCGAGGATGCCCTGATGTCTGTTCTCACATCACATTGCGCTCCAAGTACCCCGGCTGCAACCAGAGCTCAGCAAACCGGGACCAGAGGGCACATCCACCCTGCCTGCCCATGTCAACAGAGTTGTGTGGGAGCCAGCCGGCCCCCAGGAAGACCCCAGATCTTCCTGCCCCTGACCACAGCTCTGTCCCTGGAAGCATATGCTGCAGACACTTGCTCTGCTGCAGATTTTCTGCACAACCCCTCCTCATGGGGGAAGGTTTGGTACCTGAATGAGGCCTCTTTTGACCTCTATTCCTATCACTATTTTTGGTGACCTCAATATTTATGAAGGTAATAACTTGGTCTTTAATCCAGACAATTTTCACCTCCAGGAATCTTGTCCTGCATCTCACTTTTCTTCTTGAGTCCTGTGGTCATCACCAAAACCTGTCCCTCCTTGGAAACCTCAGTTTAAGCATCCCACTGTCCGAGGGTACCTCTTTCCTTCCATTGCCTCAGTTTCAGGTGTCCAGTCCATGGCGCCCCCCGTCTTTGCCCAGTCACCATGTCCAGTCGACTGTGCTCCCATCTTTACCCAGCCACTGTGTCCAGTCCATGGTGCCCCCATCTTTGCCCAGCCACCACCTCGTCTGACTCCCCGTCCTCCCCTTGGTGCTGGGCTCCTGCCTGTCCCTCCTCTGTCAAGTGCACCTGGACCTGGGAGTGACCTTGGAGTGACCTTGACCCTGGCAGCTCCAACTCTCAACCCGTCAGCCAGGCTCCTTGAAACCTGGCTGGAGGGAAACGGCAAACCCTGCCACCTGGAGTCGCCTAAAATTCGCAGCCACGGTCCTCCAACAGGCCCCACGCTTCCCGCCAGTCCAGCACATTTCCTGGTTAATTTATAATTCTGTTTTCCCAGGCAGCTATTTTGCAATTTCCAGGCTCAACAAAGCCTCCAACAGTTCTTCACCTTCCTAATTCCGAGCTGTTGCCCACATTTGTTTATTTTATCAAAAGAACTTCCGGGCCGGGTGCAGTGGCTCACACCTGTAATCCCAGCACTTTGGGAGACCCAGGCGGGTGGATCACCTGAGGCCAGGTGTTCGAGACCAGCCTGACCAACATGGTGAAACCCCATCTCTAATACAAAATACACACACAAAAAATTAGCTGGGGGTAGTGGTGGGCATCTGTAATCCCAGGTACTCTGGAGCCTGAGACATGAGAATCGTTTGAACCCGGGAGGCGGAGGTTGCGGTGAGCTGAGGTTGCGGTGAGCTGAGGTTGCGCCACTGCACTCCAGCCTGCACAGCAGAGGGAGACCCTATCTAAAAACAAAACAAAACAAAACAAAATCCATGTTCTTCCAGCATCTGTGGCTGCCACATTCCCTGCCCTCCTTTTAAAGCAGCTGCAAGCAGCTGAGTTCCCAGCCTCAGTGGCATCACCCCAGGCCCAGCAGTGAGCGTGGCTTCCATGCTTTTCATGGAGCAAAGAAGAAAGGAGCTTCCTGGACCCCGTGACTCTGGAACCCTCACGTCTCCATCCTTCCCACCCCCAGGCTGTGCCTGGGCACCGTCTCCCCGGAGAGACCCCGCGTGCCCCATCTAAATCTTCATCCCACCTCTGCCCCCCTCCATGGGTGCTCAGACCCCGCATGCTCCATCTAAATCCACATCCCACCTCTGTCCCCCCTCCGTGGGTGCTCAGCCCCCACGCACCCCATCTAAATCCGCATCCCACCTCTGTCCCATTCTGTGGGTGCTCAGCCCCCGCATGCTCCATCTAAACTCGAATCCCACCTCTGCCCCCCTCCGTGGGTGCTCAGCACCCCCATGCCCCATCTAAATCCACATCCCACCTCTGCCCCCCTCCGTGGGTGCTCAGCCCCCACACACCCCATCTAAATCTGCATCCCACCTCTGTCCCCTTCTGTGGGTGCTCAGCCCCCACGCACCCCATCTAAATCTGCATCCCACCTCTGTCCCCTTCTGTGGGTGCTCAGCCCCTGCATGCTCCATCTAAACTCGAATCCCACCTCTGCCCCCCTCCGTGGGTGCTCAGCACCCCCATGCCCCATCTAAATCCACATCCCACCTCTGCCCCCTTCTGTGGGTGCTCAGCCCCCGCATGCTCCATCTAAACTCGAATCCCACCTCCGCCCCACTCCGTGGGTGCTCAGCCCCCGCATGCTCCATCTAAACTCGAATCCCACCTCTGCGCCCCTCCATGGGTGCTCAGCTTGCCTTATTTTTCTTCAGAGCCATGACCACTTCCCAGCATAACATGCATGTGTTTCTGTTTTATGCGTGGATGTTTATGTTCCATGAGAACCAACAGTGGGCTGGTTTGTTCACGTTTGGACTCAAAGCCTGGCACATGTACATCTGGTGTCTGTGTCTGGCACTGCTTTTGAGGCTTGGGAAAGGCGGATAAAGTCTCTCAATCGCATCCCCAGTGCTGAGACAGTCCACGTACACATCCACATGAGGCTTTAAGACACTGATGCACTTCAGCTGCAGGGCCTGTCAAATCCAAGCTCAAGAGAGAATGATGTGGTTTCCAAGATAAATGCCAGATACTTGCTTCTCCCCACCCAGGACTCTGCTGCTTTTATGGAAATACACATTGCTGTGGGAGAGGAAAGAGGGCTGAACAGATCATGTTGCAGTGTGGATATGGGTTTTGGCTGATAAGGGCTGTGATCACTGGCTCTTGGAGCTGTCCCCGACAAGGTGTCAAGGGTCCTGAGATGCTAACGTGCGTGGTGAGGTCGGAGTCTCTCTAAGATCCTGCAAGTGACACGGGTCACATTCCCTGGGGAGGGTCCTCCAGAGGCTGGTCCACTGGGTGGACGCCTGTGCCCCCGAGATAGGGGACTTCTCTTCCACCACTGGCCTGGCTCAAAGGACAGATGCCCTCTGGAGATGTGGCACTTAAGCTACCGTGACAGGGGATGGGTGCTGACAAGCAGATCCTAGTTCAGATTTTGACACAAGACGGTCAGGAGGAGCCTGGGCCGGTGGGGGGTGGTGCTGAGGTCAGCGGTGGAGGAACAGGGCGAGAATCACACCAGAAAACAAATGCCTCGCTTAGCGACTCCACAGTCCTGCCCTCGGTTGACTGATGATTTTACACATTTTAAGAAATTTCATAGGGTTTTCTGTAGATTTGACAGGTCTTTTCTTGTTGGAGCAGGAAGTAAAAATGATAGGACTAAGCAAGCAAAAACAGTTTATAAAGAGGAGCCCATGTTGCGGTGACATTCTCATCATCGCTAGAGATGGGCGGCTTCTCAGAAGCGTGTCCTCACCCTCGGGGGAGCAGCGGGCTTCTGATTGTTAAAGAACCCTGGGCTCCGCATCAGATCTGAGTGAGGAATCCCACTGCGTGGACGGCAGGTGAAAACTGTCAGTGTAAACAACCTATTTTCATATCTAGGACAAAGGTTAAGATGTGAGATTTTCGTCTTCCAAGGCCAACTTGGATTACTTATCTAACAAATCCTAAGATTCCCAGACTAGTCGGCTCCCTAATGCATTTCTCTAAAAATTCCTGAAAAGAAAAGAGAGCCAAATGTTTGTGTTTTTCTGGACCCCCCAACTGAAGCCTGTTCCTGAAATGCAGCCTTGAAAAGAATAGGATCTACTTTCTCCCTTGTTCCTGCCAAGAGGTCAGGAGTGATTAATTAGAAACATTATTTGATCAAAACCACATTCGTTTTAGTAAAAAGCAGCAAGAGTTTAACAACTTCTTTCACCCATCACATGCAGCAGAAAATCAGACGAGAAGGATGCATTTCAATGACCCTGGTGCACCCTGGGTCATCACGAGGCGCACCCTGGGTCGTCACACACGCGTGAACACACGGGGGGCACCCTGGGTCGTCACACACGCGTGAACACACGGGGGGCACCCTGGGTCGTCACACACGCGTGAACACACGGGGGGCACCCTGGGTCGTCACACACGCGTGAACACACGGGGGGTGGGTTGGATTGGAGAGTTCTCCAGCAAAGCTGGAGAGTCTGGCAGTCCTGGAAAGTCCAGGCAATTGTAAGACTGCAGTCAGGGAAGTCAGGACAGGCAGAAAAAGCCACACTCTCGCCCAGGCAGGCAAGCAGGGTCAGGAGCCGAGGATGTCGGAGCAGACGCAGCCTCCCAGGGACTTGTGGACGGTCATCTGTCTACACCGAGCCCCAGACTGGGCAGCTGGCTGTTGCAGGGAGTTTGAAGACCTGCAGGAAACCCTTGCCTTTGAATAAGGTACACAGAGAGAAAATGTCCTCTCTTCCAAATACGTCTTGCCAAAATGCAGGGCAACCTTGCCTCTCTTTCTCCAGTGAGGGCCTCGTGTACTACAGACTTGGGTTTCTAAATACCTGACCTAGAGTTTCAGATCCTCACTCACCGTCCAACAGAAACGTAACGTGAGCCACAGGGGTACCACTAAATTTTCTAGATGCTCAGTAAAAAACACAAGTGAAACTAATTTTAATAATAAATTTTATCATCCCAGTATGTCCAAAACATGATTATATCAACTTGTAATCAATATAAAGACATCAAGGAGATACTTGAAATTCATTTTTTCTTTGAAATGTGTTGTGTGTGGGTCACTGGCAGCCCCTCTCTCTCCAGACCTGCCCAGCTCTGAGTGTGTAATTGGCACGTGTGCCCTGGCTGCGGGACTGGATGTCATAGACCCAGACAACTTGTGCTTCAAATGCAAGGTACAGATACATGAATTTATTTTCATCAGTCCCAAACTTGCTCATTTCCTTGACTGCCTAGTTTTTTGGAATTGACTTCATACAGCATTCAACATATTCTTCAACAACTATTTCCTGAGGGTTTATGATGGGCTCACCACTGTTTCAAGCACTGAAGATTTAACAAGACAAAACAAAATGAACAAAAGACCAAATTAGACCCCTTCTCTGTTCACCCAGGCTGAGAACCATATGATCATTTCGGAGCCTTTTCTTAATCCCAGATTTGGGGGAGTTGCCGGAACCTGCCAGTCCACCCCTCTCTCCACCTGGTCCCCCATGCAGCTGCTGGGCCTGATCCTGGATGCTGATAAGAGCTTCCTAAATGAATCTCATGCACCGTACCCTAGAACTCCCCCCAGGTGGAGGTCTGAGAGGCTCCTCCTGCCCGAAGACCTTCAGGGGCTCCTTGGCACTCAGGATCCTCCCGATGTGGCCTAGAGCCGCTTTCCCCAGCACCGCCGCTCCCTCGGCAGCCACTTCATGCTCACTCCACTTCCCCTCTCCCACTCTTGCCCATGCAACCAGGATTGCCACATCGTGTCTTTGCTCCTGATGCCTAGAAGCCCTGGAAATATGCAAATCAGATCCTGCTAAAATGCTTCTGTGAACTGCAGTCACCTCTGGGTGCAGCCCCAGCTTCCGAGCTCATCGCCTCCCAGGAGTGGTCCTGCCTCAGCCGGAACCCGTCTCCCTCTGGCCATTCACAGTGCGGTTCTCAGGGGCCCCCGCCACGTGTCCTCTCTTCTCAGGGACCCTTGGTTCTTCTGCCTGGAGCAGCCCCTCTCACCCCGCCCAACCCCCTCCCAAGCCCAGTCAGCTTTTGTTCACCTTGAGCATTCACCTCCGGGCCCCTAGATCTGGCCATTCTCCTGTGAGCGTGTTCGGCTCATGCTGCCAATCCATGTCCCTCCCAGCCCTCATCACATGAGGCCCTCATCACTTGTGCAGCTGCCGTTTCTTTCTGGCAGGGTCAAAAGTCGCAGGACAAAGAGGTTAGGATCGGGGCTCTGCCATCAGACCCTCCTAGTTACGAGCCTCACTCCATCACTGGGAGAAAAGGTTCCCAGCATTTCTGAACCTGCTCCTCAAGTGTCAGACAACAAAATCTAGCCTGTCAGGTATATGCGGTGCAGTCATGAGCTGTCTCCCTGGAACTGGCTCAGTACATGCCAGTTACGATCTGTAATCGCTCATTTATCTCCAGCACCTGTGATAAGGCCTAGCATATAGTAGGTGCTATTGAATATTCCTAAAAAGGAGAATGACACCCCCCTGGTTGGAATACTTCCTGGAGGCTGGCCCTCGGCATTGGGCTAGACCTGAATTCAAATCATGGTTCTGCCAGTTACCAGCCTGCCATGATGGGCAGGCCACTTCACTTCTTTGCCTCACGTTCTTCAGTAGGACAGCCAAGGTCAGGCCTTTGCCCTTGCAGGGGTGTGGGGAGGCCACTGCATGGGCTGGAGACAATGCAGGTGACAGTGGTGTCCCTCATGGCAGAGACTCAAGAAATATGATTGAAGTTGTTATTACTATTCTTCCTCTTCTTCAATTGCTCCTTCAACAAATGTTTCCTTAATCTCTCAGCCAGAAAGAAGCACTTCTCATGCTGAGCTCCCGCACCCTGTGGCACTGTCTGTGGTGAGAACGTCATTCACTTAAGGTGCTGACTTGAGTCCCTGTGTCCTCCGCACGTGACCTCCTGAACCCTTTGAGCTGTCCAGGGTGAGAACGTGGTCTCCCTAAGGTGCTGACGTGAGTCCCTGTGTCCTCCACATGTGACCTCCCGCACCCTTTGAGCTGTCCAGGGTGAGAACGTGGTCCCTCTAAGGTGCTGACCTCTGTCCCTGCGACTCCCCAGGTGACCTCCCGCTCCCTTTAGAGCTGTCCATGGTGAGAACGTGGTCCCCCTAAGGTGCGGACGTGTATCCCTGCATCCTCCCCACAAGATCTCCCACACCCTTTAGATCTGCCTATGGTGAGAACGTGGTTGCTCTAAGGTGCTCATGTGTGTCCCTGCGTCCCCCTCATATGACCTCCTGCATCCATCTCCCACATCAGATGCTTGCTGCTGGCTATAGCTTAGCTTAATCATCTTATCCTCCTTGGCCACTTAATTATTAAGAGGCCACTGATGAAATTTTGTTGAATGAATATAAGGCCACTACTATAATCGCGCCAGTTTATGGAACAAACAGAAGGCTGACTTGAGGAAGAGAGAGCACTCCCTGTCTCTATAGGACATTTCATTTTACTTTTTTTTTTATTATTATTATACTTTAAGTTTTAGGGTACATGTGCACAATGTGCAGGTCAGTTACATATGTATACATGTGCCATGCTGGTGCACTGCACCCACTAACTCGTCATCTAGCATTAGGTATATCTCCCAGTGCTATCCCTCCCCCCTCCCCCCACCCCACAACAGTCCTCAGAGTGTGATGTTCCCCTTCCTGTGTCCATGTGTTCTCATTGTTCAATTCCTACCTATGAGTGAGAATATGCGGTGTTTGGTTTTTTGTTCTTGCGATAGTTTACTGAGAATGATGATTTCCAATTTCATCCATGTCCCTACAAAGGACATGAACTCATCATTTTTTATGGCTGCATAGTATTCCATGGTGTATATGTGCCACATTTTCTTAATCCAGTCTATCATTGTTGGACATTTGGGTTGGTTCCAAGTCTTTGCTATTGTGAATAATGCCGCAATAAACATACGTGTGCAGGTGTCTTTATAGCAACATGATTTATAGTCCATTGGGTATATACCCAGTAATAGGATGGCTGGGTCAAATGGTATTTCTAGTTCTAGATCCCTGAGGAATCGCCACACTGACTTCCACAATGGTTGAACTAGCTTACAGTCCCACCAACAGTGTAAAAGTGTTCCTATTTCTCCACATCCAACGTTAGACCTAAAACCATAAAAACCCTAGAAGAAAACCTAGGCATTACCATTCAGGACATATGCATGGGCAAGGACTTCATGTCTAAAACACCAAAAGCAATGGCAACAAAAGCCAGAATTGACAAATGGGATCTAATTAAACTAAAGAGCTTCTGCACAGCAAAAGAAACTACCATCAGAGTGAACAGGCAACCTACAAAATGGGAGAAAATTTTTGCAACCTACTCATCTGACAAAGGGCTAATATCCAGAATCTACAATGAACTCAAACAAATTTACAAGAAAAAAACAAACAACCCCATCAAAAAGTGGGCAAAGGTCATGAACAGACACTTCTCAAAAGAAGACATTTATGCAGCCAAAAAACACATGAAAAAATGCTCACCATCACTGGCCATCAGAGAAATGCAAATCAAAACCACAGCGAGATACCATCTCACACCAGTTAGAATGGCAATCATTAAAAAGTCAGGAAACAACAGGTGATTTTACTTTTATTACCTTTTTTTTTTTTTTAATTTCTGCCTTTAAAACAAACCCAGAGCTTTGTAATAATAGCAATGCCTTTTGCCTTAACAGCTCTTAGGGTCAGTGGGCCGCAGGGTGAATTCAAGATTCCTGTGATCTCAATTCATCTAATTTCTAGAGAATTTGAGCAATGGCTCCTCCAGCGATTCAGGCCTGGCCTCGGCCGTAGACCTGCATCCCACCTGGCCTGGGGGCCGACGTGCAGCAGCACCGGTGCCTTCCCCTCCCTCCCGTGCAGGGCTCTCCGCTCTCCTCGCCTGGAATGATACCATTCCTGTCCTTCTGATTACGCTGGCACCAGGTCTTCTGTGAAATTTGCTTGATAACATTTTAGGTTCTGGACCTCTCATTGTGCTCTGGCCTGTAATTTGCCCCATGATCATCTGTATGTCTCTCAGTCTACAACTTTGGATATATTTATGTGCATTATTCTGGTTTCTTTATACAAAAGACACAAGAAACCTCTTATTGTGTCTTTTTCTGTTTTAATCTAATTCCAGGAAAAATCATTGCCTGCAACACAGATCGAATGCGTCTTCATGAACCACTATAAATACATGGGTATGCATGTAATGTTATGCCTCCCCTCCCCCTTCTCTAAGCACGCTGTCTTCTCCGGTGCTGTCTATCTTTTTAGATCCATGGATATACTTGGAATTTCTGAAATGGAACTGAAAGTGTCCACAAGAGGAGAAGAGGCTGAGGGGAGGCAGCAGGGAAAGGGGCCAATCTCTTGGGGGCCTTAGAAACAATTAGGGAGCATTTTTGAAAGGCGTCTGACTTCTGCCACCCAGGAAAAGAGAGATTTGAATACTAGAATTTGGCCACCTAGAATAATTTACCTTACTCTGTCGAGTGAGGGCAAGCAGCTTTTTCCTCCTGTTTTCCACAATTTGTCCCGGCTGACTATACACTGTGTTTGTGGTATGCCAAAGACACTTATTTCATCAAAGTATTAGGAATGAGTATTTTATCCGAAGAAGATTCCTGGAAAGAAGGGACATTTCGGTCATCTGTCTTGGAGGTTCGGTGTGTTCACGCGCTTCTCCGTGGTGGGCAGCATTGCCTGCTCTGGTCCTGCCTGTAACTCTGCACCCCACCCTATCAGCCATCACCGTCTCAGCTTAACTCTGCAAGCAAAGGAAGCCAGGATTGCAGAGCCCTCCATGTAGGCTGGTCTGAGAAGGACAGAGTTAAAAGATCTTAATACTTTTCTCATCGTTACTTCTCCTCTAGGTTGAGCTCAGTCTAGCAAAAAAAAAAAAAAAAAAAAAAAAAAAAAAAAAAAAAAAAAAAAAAACTCCCCTGTGTACAGTGAGTGTGTGTGTATCTAGTTGAGAATATTTTGTAATTGTTTGTAAGATGGTTTACTTCCTGTGAAGCTTTCACTGTCATGTCACATACCCAGGGTTAGCAGTTGTTGGATTTGCCAGGGACAGACCCAGCTTTTGTCCCCGTACCATGTAATTTCTGCTAGCACCCCTTGCCCACTTAACAGCATCCTGGTTTAGAAAAGGATTCATATTTTCAGTCTACACATGTGTCTCCTTTAAAGAACGGTACTAAGAAATTGTTTTTTCTCTTTCGTTAGCAATTCTAATTTGTTTTCCCAAGTTGCTACTCTAAAGACCAGGTACCATGAAATCCTAATTGCTTTCCCTCAATAGCTGTGCACACGAGAAAGTAATTTGGAAATAATGGACAGCGTTTTAGTGGTTACTGTGGGGAAAAAGAAGTGCCTTCATTTTTCAGTAGAACAATTGTATGTGATTCAGTGATGTATATTTTCTAATAGCAGATGGCAGATTCAATGAGAGAAATTGCAACTCAAATCATTAGTTAAAAAATTTGTGTCACTTTGTTAGATGTGGTGATTGCATTCTAAACTGGAGGCTGAATTATACACTATTTAGTTTTACATATCCTGTTTAACTCTTCTATATATTGTTTATCTACATATAACGATTTTAACTGCAAAATTCCATGCATGTATATGTTCCTTTCTTAAATGTGTGCTTCCATATAACTACATTCTTTAAAATTCTAACATCTGGCTAAAGCAATTTTTATGAACAGAAAATAATGTCACTATAATTGACTTAAAATTAATAGGAAGATCAGAAATGAAGAAGTATAAATATACAACACACCTGTCAGGAAAGAAAATAAAAACCCTGGGGTTTTAGAAATACAATGTAAGTAAGAATTCTTAATTGTATTCTCTTTAGTTTAGACTTCAGAGCAGACTTAGAATTGTGGAAGTTTAGAGAGCGAAGGACGAACAGTAGGAAGGCCAGTGGGCACCCATGTGGGTGAGGCTGAGGGTGACTGGGGGTCCCTGTGATGCTCAGAGGAAGTCTGTGGGTCCTCCCCCCACCGAGAAGCAGACCTGCTCACACTGATGCCTGTGCATTTGGAAGATTGGAGTCTGGTCTTTTGAAAACCTGCCCGTCCACTTCAAATCCTTTTCCAAGAAGCCTGAGATGACCCAGTACTTTCTAGATGCTCTTTCTCCCAACGTGCTTTGAGCTCGCAGGCGTGAACCCAGTGCGGTGGGATGGGTGGTGCCTGGATGTGGCTGTGGGTGTTGGCTTTAGCATGGGTCTCTGCACCTTGCCCAAGGTTCACATCCCAGGTCTGTCCCTCCCACTCTCCCAGGCCAGGGGACCCTCACTGGCCACAATCCTTCCATCAATCTGTCGGGACCCAAAGCAAACTGCCCCCACTCTGAAGAGAAAATGAAAGGACGGTCAGCCCCTGCCAGGGGACTTCATGCCAGGACACAGGACGTGGCCAGGCATGGAGGCTTCGTGCTTGTGCCTCTTAGCTCTGCCCAGGTGCCTCCACAGCCCTACCAGGGCACTGCTGACTTCGAGGCTGCTGATGCTCGATGTCTTGGAGGCAGACCTTCTTTTATCCTCTCTTCCTCACCACTATCTTCCTCACAAGGATTCGTCCACTACCATGCGCACAGCAGGGGCTCAAAGAGCGTTTGTTGAAGGAATGGGAAACTGAGGAATGGATGGTTATGTGCCTCACTCGAGGCCAAGGTGTTTAGCAGCCAGACAGGCCCGGGATCTGATCCTGACTCCTCGGAGTGCCCTTTGCCTCCTGCCTGCGGGAGCAGCTCAGAGACACCGTTGATGGCACGGCATCACCCCATCTGGAGCAGCTCGATCCTTGGGAACCTGTGTCACACAGCAGCAGCTGCCATTCTCTCTAACTCACAGGAAACTTAAACAGGTTCACAGGAAACACAACTGAAGAATACTGAATCATCTCAGTGACCAGTGAGAGACGGCGCAGTGCAAACCACCCGGGGAACAGTGTCACCTCGCAGGGCCTGAGCCGCCACTGGGGAACCCTTGACATAGCTGAGGAGTTTCAACAGAGGCTTGGCCAGGCCTCCGCTGTCCTGACTCTGCCCTGGTGTCCTATATTGGTCTAGATGGAGCTTGGGACCACGGCTGCCAGGAAACGCTCAGCGGGGAGGCGGAGGGAAGGAAGGGCTCCTGCACCAGCAGCACAGAAAAGCAGCACCGATGGTCCAGCCGGAGGGGCCTCAGCGAACACACGGTCCAGCTGCGGGGCCGTCTCCGCAGACACTGGCTCCCCGCAACCAAACTTCTCACCAGTCAACCTGCCCACGTGAACCCAGAAGTCTGTGGTTTTAGTAAAAGGCTATTTGCCAAGTTAATAGTTTAAAAAATACCAAAAAGATGAAAGAAGAAAGAAAAGAAAGAAAGAAAAGAAGGAAGGAAGAAAGAAAAAAGAGAGGAAGGAGGAAAGGAGGGAGGGAGGGAGGAAGGAAGGAAGGAAAGAAAGCTGGAGGTCTTCACATGGAGTTAAAATGTCACTGTTTCCTAAGGAGTTTGGAGACCAGGCCCTTGGACAGGTAAGCAGATCTGATTTACTGACACTGGGCCCAACTCCTGAAATGCTGACTTTTGAATCTAAACTTCTGTGTGCATATATCTATATGTCTCTATCTCTATCTATCTATCTATCTATCTATCTATCTATCTATCTATCTATGAGCTAAATGGACAAAGCACACACGGCAGAATCCCCCATTTGTCTTGAGCCTCTGTGGCTAGTTCAGTTCCCCAAGTGAATAAGTTACGATTTGTATGATGACCTGGAAGGATCTGAGACAGGAGATGCGCCCATTAGAAGGCGAGGCGAGATGGTGAGAGAGAGACACAGAGAGACAGAGACAGAGCGGGACAGAGATAGAGAGACAGAGAGAAAGAGAGACAGAGACAGACACACAGAGACAGACAGAGAGAGACAGGGATATAAAGAAAGAGACAGAGACAAAGAGAGAGACAGAGAGTCAGAGAGAGACAGAGATATATAAGGAGAGGGACAGAGAGAGAGAGAGGCAGAGACAGAGGCAGAGAGAGAGACAGTGACCAAAAGAGAAGGTGGTGGCGGGGGAGAGACAGAGAGCGAGAGAGAGAGACAGAGAGAGAGAACTGGATCCAGAATGTACCCAGTGGCCTCCAGCAGCGGCTGCTTCTTTGCTGTTTCTTGCCCATCGTGTGGCACCAGACACACAGCCTGTGTCATGAACCCCCAGCCTGCAGAACGTGAGCAGCAGGAGGCATGTAGAGAGGATGGGCAGTTGGGGAGCAATCCTCTCTCATTCCCAGAGGGAGCGTGGCTGGTTTACCCAACACCTAACGAGGTCAGCAAAGGTTGCCTCTGGGTTCTGACTCCGTCTATTTTTCAGCTTCTGATTTTATTCTTAAATTCTGTTCTGATGAGCTGCAGAGGAGGAGGCCTTTGGAAGTAAGCATTTCTATATTCGCACCTGTCTCCTTTTTAGAAATTAAATGCAACCATTTGTCATATCTTAAAATCAGTTTAGGGTTTAATTGGCCATAAATTTGATCATATTTTGCCTTCATACTCTAGACACATAGAAATTATTTTCTAAAGTATCATTTTTTTTTAAAAAAATGTAATACTGCTCAAAATACTATGATATTATGCTCAAGACTTTCTTATAAATGACGTCCTAAAAGAATGGCAGCATTTGGCACTGCTTGTTTTTTATCCCTACATTTTTATACTGCCTTGGGACATTGACAATTATTATTTAAATCAAAAAGGAAACCAAAAATAATTCACATTGTTGGTCACTGTTTTCTTCCTTGAATATATTACTAAACCATGTCTGGGAACTCCATTTTGAAAGTAGCAGTTTCTCCTGACATGAAAACTACATATATTGATTTTTGGCACCGAGAACAAGATTTGTTGTCTCATTCACATACAAACGTATATACGTTAAAATTACCTTAAAACTTCAGTATAATTTAGAAGATGTTAAATGCATCCACTTATGACATATCGATTTGTGCGGTTTTATTTTTTAACAGTATATGTTGAAGTTGAGTGTGCCACTATTTAAAAATGTTTGCGGTATGGTGAATATACACTAGGATTTAGCTCGAGACTGCTTTTTTTTAAGATGTACTAAACACATGTGTTTGCTTTGCTGTCTCTCCCCCTTGGCGGTTGCTACCTGGGCTGATTAACCACGGCTTTCTCCCTTTTGGGTCCCCCAGCACCTGCACCTGCGAGGTGCTGGGTAGAATGCCCAGTGACAGTGGAGGGGAAGCAGGACGGGCAGGCACCATGCTCACCGCACGGCAGGAAAGGCCTCCCTCCCGAGTGTGTCTCTAAGCCTGGTGGCTTCAGGATTTGCTGATTTCTTGGTGAAGCCTCAGCTGAAGCACAGACCTTTTGCCTCAGATCATGTGGCAGTCTTACATCATTTCTCTCACCAGAGAGTCTCATGCCCCCTGGCCTGTCACAGCAGTGGGTGAGTCAGGAGGGCACAACTATGGGAGAAGATGGGGATTCTGACAGGCAAAAGACCAAAGTGAGTCCTGCTAGTGCTTCGGAAAGGCATGGGGGCTGGTTATTGTAGTGGCTGGGAGGACGGGGCAGATAGGAACCCACAGGGACAGGGGGGCGCTGGACCTGAGTGGGGACACAGAGAGAACACCGCATGCTGGAAACTTCCAGGAGGATGGGAGCCCGCATCCTGGAAACCGGAGGACTTGAGTGACAGGTGCAGGAGAGGCTGCTGCTCCAATCATCTGAGAGCACAGTCTGGCCAATGGGGAACTCAGGGCAAACACCTGCTGGGCTTTAGGGTCTCCTGCCTCCCAGACAAAACCTGTCATTGGGTCTTCCAGTTTCATGGAATTGAATTGATTCCATTTATTTATTCCAATAAATAAATATCGAATGATGTGAAAGAATCAGCATTTCTAAGAATAATTTTTAATGCACTCAGAATTAAGGTGGAGTTAAAAGAAAGCCCACTCTAAAGTCTTTTCTTGAAGGCCCTCGCATTTGAACATCTGCCATCCAGCAAAGGAGACACACACTTTACTGCAGAGCAAAACTGGGATCATACTGTATACTTTTAGAAGTGTAACTTTTGATCTATTTTTACTTTTTTTTTTTTAAAAAAAGCCTGTATGACAGGTTTTGTTTACAATTTCATGAAAATATTTGCTTGGTGCTTGATACTGATACTATAGTTTATTTCAATCATGTTTGTGTTCTGTGATATTTTCTCATTATAAATTTAGGAAGTAAAACAGATAAATGGTGTGGAGTTGTTCAAAGCAAAATCACCACTGGGATTTGAAATGTTTTTCTGCTGCAAATGAGTAAGAATTGTGGATATTGTGGCAGCTGCAGTTCCTGAGGAGCTATGAAGCCAGATACGTGGGTATCAGGACTCCCTCTTTCATCTCCCCTTTCATTTAGTTGCAGAGGTGAGAGTGCAGGCGAGCAGGCAGGTGAGTATGCAGGTGAGTGGACAGGTGAGTGTGCAGGTGAGTGTGCAGGTGAGTGGACAGGTGAGTGGACAGGTGAGTGTGCTGGTGAGTGTGCAGGTGAATGGACAGGTGAGTGTGCAGGTGAGTGGACAGGTGAGTAGGCAGGTGATATGCTGGTGAGTGGACAGGTGAGTGGACAGGTGAGTATGCAGGTGATATGCTGGTGAGTGGGCAGGTGAGTATGCAGGTGAGTGTGCAGGCGAGTAGGCAGGTGAGTGTGCTGGTGAGTGGAAAGGTGAGTAGGCAGGTGATATGCTGGTGAGCGGACAGGTGAGTAGGCAGGTGAGTGTGCAGGTGAGTGTGCTGGTGAGTGTGCAGGTGAGTGTGCTGCTGAGTGGAAAGGTGAGTAGGCAAGTGAGTGTGCAGGTGAGTGGACAGGGGAGTGTGCAGGTGAGTGGACAGGTGAGTGTGCTGGTGAGTGTGCAGGTGAGTGGACAGGTGAGTAGGCAGGTGAGTGTGCAGGTGAGTGGACAGGTGAGTGTGCAGGTGAGTGTGCAGGCGAGTAGGCAGGTGAGTGTGCTGGTGAGTGTGCAGGTGAGTGTACAAGTGAGTAGGCAGGTGAGTATGCAGGTGAGTGTGCTGGTGAGAAGGCAGGTGAGTGTGAAGATGAGTGAACAGGTGAGCTTGCAGGTGCGTGTGCAGGTGAGTGGGCACCTGTTTATCTCAGGTCTCTACAGGGCTGAGCCAGGCAGGCATCAGGCAGCTATGCTGTGACGCCACCAGCATATAGAAGAGGGAAGATAAAAATGGCTGCAGGAGGCTCTTCAGGAACTGACGGTGGGTGCCCTTTCTCGTCCATCTGAATGACTGTGAGGGTGTTTGTTTTGTTTTGTAGCATGTTGGTTTGTATAGAAGAGACAAGTGCCCAAGTCTTGTCATTCTCACTTATAAAATGGAAGGACCACCTCTGCGCCATGCTGGGCTGAGTACTGACTGGGTAGGATGTGGGCAGAACTTGGCATAATACTGAGCCCTCAGTAAATAGTAGATAAAGAAGAAAATAAACACAAAGCTTTGTTAAGAGAGAGGGCTGGGGAAGAAGGGCAGTGAAGAGGAGGTCACTGAGTGGGAGGATCCAGAGAGCAGGTGCTGCAGCCTGGGCTCCCCAGGGGCCATCCTGAGCCAGGACTTCCCCTGCGTGGACATTTGCTGCTGGTGCTTCTGGGCCCCCAAATGCTCCTAGTGCTCTTCTGCACCCACGTACAGCGTTTCCCTGCTTGGCTCACTCACACACCCTACTGCAGCACTGTAGGCAGGTCTTTTCCTGCAGCGGTGACCTTTCTCCACATCCACTGCCCCCGAGTGCTCATTTACATGGCCAGAGTGGCCCCAGCCTGTGAGAGGGTTGGCTTCAGCAGCCCAGGCTCCTGCAGGCCAGCGAGCTCTCAGCAGAGGTGGAGCTCAGAACAGGGCTTTGGGCTTCAGTTCAGGAGGCCAGTAAATGAACAGAGGATGCATCTGCTGACGTTTGTTTGGAGGCAGACAGTGGCTCTGTGTGCTTGTCTGGGGTGGGCCTGTCCCTGTCACTGATGGGGATGAGGGGCTCAGTGAGCCAGGGGACCAGGGCTCTCAGCTGGGAAAGGACAGCTTGGATGAGCCCCGGTGGGGCTGTCACCGGCACTCAACTGTGCTCAGGTTGCAACTCCCCACCCCATGTGCACCAGCTGTCAATGGCTGCTGCCTGGGATAAAAGGGCCTTCCCCCATTTCTCCTCATGTCACAGAAGAGCTTGGGGATGTGTTGAGTGTGGAGCGGAAACTGGTGAGGCCGAAGTACACAGCAGAAAGTAAAGGTGCCATCAGCAGAGAGCCAGGCCGGTGCCTCCAACACCCCACCCTCACTCTCATTCCGTCCCCTGATGTCCATTTCTTAGAGAAGGTGAATAAAATGGATCATGCAGTGGCCACGGCGGCCTCCCCCTTCCCCTCCCAGGCCCAGGCGCACTCTGCACCTCCTTGCTTAGGCCTGAGGAAGAGCTCAGTGTCCTTGGGAGGTTGAGGAGGAAAATGCTGGGGTTCTCGTTATGAGGTTTTCCATGCAGCAGGCACCCAGCAGGACGGTGCTCTACCCAGCCCCTCAAGGCAAGATGATGGGGGCCAGGACTGGGGCACCCTGGGCTGCAAGCTCAACGGGGTCTTGTGAGGCCCTCCTGCCGCCCAGTGAGCCCGCTGCAGCCAGCTCCTCAACTGGCCATAGAGGTCAGTGACACCCAGTAAGATGGCCGCTGGGCAGGACACAAGACACGTCCTGCTAACCCTCCATCTGTCATGAACTACATCTCTTAACCTTTTGGGGCCTTTGTTTCTTACATTAAAACAATGACAAGACCTCCGTGATGTCCCTGGCATTTTTTGAAGATCAAAGTGTCTTATATCTGAAAGACCTTTAGGAAAAAAATTAGATACCCACACAGGGAATCCTGAGGCTGCAAATCATGGAAGGTGGCGTCCTTCCCTCCCGCCTCCCAGCTGAGCCGTCTGCTGAGCGAGGAGGAGCCACAAGTGATGTGGGCCGAGAGCACGGAACGGACAGCCTCTTACACATGCACAGCATGAAGGAAACAGCCGGTTTGAGGGCATTTTCTCAGAGGACATGAGTCGAACCTGCATAGATGATGAGGTGTCAGGCTGGGACAAGGGCTTTGAGTTGAAGATTGAGAAACCGGTGCTGAAAGCAGAGGGGACATGGCGAAAGGTGGAGTTTTAGGAAAGAGAATTGGGCAGACGACGGGAGCCAGAGGACGGGTTAGAAGTGGCACAAGTCTTCTTAGACTTTCCTGGAAAGCACCACAGAGAACAGACACTCCTGTTCCCAGCGTTTTGGAGGCTGGGTGAACAGACACTCCTGTTCCCAGCGTTTTGGAGGCTGGGTGTCCAAGGTCAAGGTGTCGGCAGGGCTGGTTCCTCCTAAGGTCCCTGTCCTTATAGACCCTGCTGTCTCCCTGTGTCCTCACGGGGTCCTCCCTCTGTGCATGTCTGTGTCCTAACGTCTGCTTTTATAAGGACACCATGCAGATTGGAGTAGGGTCCACCCTAAAGACCTCATTTTATCTTAATTATCTCTGTAAAGACCCCACCTCCAAACCCAGTCAACTGAGGTCCTGGGGGTCAGACTTCAACCTGTGAATTCGGGGGACACATACAGCCTGGAAGAGGCAGCTATTTCAGTTACCTGACATAAGGCAGGAGGGGCTATGTTGGCAGAGTGGAGAGGAAAGAGGATTTGAGGGGTGATCTCAGGATGTTGAGTGGCACTGCCAGGAGATCCAGGGGCAGCGATTCAGGGGCTGAGTTGACAGAAAAACAGAAGTCAAAAGAGAAACCATGGGCAGCAACATTGTAACAGGTAACAGGGCTGCAACATTGTAATAGGTAACTCAACTTCCTGACTCCCTTGTACAGGTTATTAAGCTGAATTGGTTTTGTGGGTGAATTAAGATTATTGATGGACCAGAATGAATCAATAGAAGTAAAACCTTAATAAGTAGTGCTAATTAATTCACCCCTCATGGAACGGCTTGCTTGTGATTGGATTTTATGAACAGAGCAATTCTACTGTTTTTGTTTCTTAAAAAAAAATTAAAACTAATATATTCCCCTGGCTGCTAAGAAGCTGCTATAAATTAAAAGCCAGTCTGCTCAGCTCATTAAAAAGGTAGTGGCTGGATTCTGTAGTCTCAGTGCTGATTATTTTTCTGGGAGGGAAATGCATGCTTGTTCTGGCAACTCACAGGTGGTGATCGTGGAGAATAATGGGTCTTAAAGATGCCAAAGCAGCACATTTCATAGCAGAGACATGGGAGAAAAGTAAGCAGATGGGCATGCAGCACTCAGCACCAGCACTGCCGGGTCAGAGGGGCCCTGGAGCCCCTTCCTGTTTGCACACACTGGAGACACATGCGTGCAGACGCTGCTCTGAGGGGCTCTGTGCACAGCCACCCTCTCTCTCCCTCAGTCCTCAGCCTCCTCCCCACCTGCTCCTGCGCCTCTCTGGCCCTGGGGTGGAGGAGGGTGGGAGGTTCAGCTGGGGGACTCTGTGGGATCCCCCTGTGGTCAAGCTCCATGGTTTCCAGATGGGGTCACAGAGACCGAGAGAGCCTGGCGGTTTGGCTCTGGCCTTGGGGCAGTGCCAGGGTCGTTTCTGAATCAGCTCAACCCAGTCCACCTGCATCCCTCCTCCACTGCACATTGCTCAGGAAACCCTTCCTGTCAGAGAGCCCATGAAGCCCCTCAAGTCAGAGAGGGGCACCTATAGCTGCAGAGCACAAAGCGCATGGGAGGGGTACTCCGGGGCCATGGGAGGGGGCTCAGGGTCACTAAAGGGAAGTTCAGGATCCATGGGAGGGGGCCCAGGGCCACTCGGCGGGGGGGTCAGGGTCACAGGAGGGGGCCCAGGGTCACAGGAGGGGGCTCAGGGCCACGGGAGGGGGCTCAGAGTCACAGGAGGGGGCCCAGGGTCACAAGAGGGGGGTCCACGGTCACAGGAGGGGGGTTCAGGGTCACAGGACAGGTCTCAGGGTCACTGGAGGAGCTCAGGGTCACAGGACAGGTCTCAGGGTCACAGGAGGTGGCTTAGGGTCACTGTAGGGCTCAGGGTCAAAGGAGGGGGCTCAGGATCACTGGAGGGGCTCAGGGTCACAGGATGGGTCTCAGGGTCACAGGATGGGTCTCAGGGTCACAGGAAGTGGCTTAGGGTCACAGGAGGGGGCTCAGAGTCACAGGAGGGGGCTCAGGATCACTGGAGGGGCTCAGGGGCCATTGCAGGAGGGCTCTCCCTGCTGGACTTCCTGCAAATACGGTAGCAGCAGTTCATGCTATGGTTCTGTGGTGCTGGCAGGAGCCGAGAGGACTGAGGGTCCCGTGAACTGCAGGTGGGACCCCAGGGATAAGCAGTGCTAGGTCTGTGTCTCCATCCAGCGATCTTCGGTCTCAAGTGGGTGAGGGGCACTGTGCAACCCCCGTTTGGAGACAGGTGATCATCAGTCTGTAGTGAGCGGAGGGGCGCTGTGCACCCTCCAGTTGGAGATGGAGCAGCTGTGTTTCCTGAAGCTTTGAGCCCTGAAACCCACATCCCCAGGGTCTCTCAAGGAAAGGCCCTTGGGGACAATGGCTGCAAAACACATTGAAGGTGGAGGATGAGGAGGGGCGTGTGGACTTCGTCAAGTGCGATTCAGTCTGCTGTGTGGCCCTGGGGCAGCAGCTGCTTGCCCTCTCCAAGCCTCAGTTCCCCTTCTGGTCTTGGAGGCAGTGAGGTGTCTCCAAGGGGCTGGGGCTGGGTGACAGCGGGCCTCAGGCTCTGGGTAGGTTGCTGGCCCGGGGAGGCTCAGCAGGTGCAGTGGTTGCTGTCCCCTTGGGTTCCCATGGCTGATTGAACAGATTCAGTGCAGTTCTCACGAAGGACCCTCCAACTTTCTCCACCTTGTAGAGCCCTAGGCCTGGGGTGGCTCAGACACAGCAAGGAAAGAAGCCCAGGTGCGCTCTGGTGTAAGGCCATCCAGAAGCTGCAGTGATACCCTCATGCACACAGGTGGTGGGTGGAAAGAAGCTCAGGTGCATCCTGGTGCAAAGCTGTCCCGGAAACTGCAGTAATACCCTCATGCACACAGAAGGTGGATGGAAAGAAGCTCAGGTGCATCCTGGTGTAAGGCCATCCAGAAGCTGCAGTGATACCCTCATGCACACAGGAGGTGGATGGAAAGAAGCTCAGGTGCATCCTGGTGTAAGGCCATCCAGAAGCTGCAGTGATACCCTCATGCACACAGAAGGTGGATGTTGTTTATTGAAATTAGAATCTGATCAGGTCTCCTTTATTTGGTCTGGTGACTCTATCCAAAAGCAGTGGGGCTTGTCCCCAGACTAGCACTGACGTCATTGAGACCAGGGCCTCCGACCAGGGCTGGCAGCTGTGAACGTGCCAGGCTGTACGAAGGCCTTGTGGCTGTGGCTGGTGAGGGTGGTGCCCAGGGGACGGTGGGAAAGGACGGTGGGTGGAGCGAATGTGCAGCCCCACCATCCCTGCCGCACACGACACACAGGGAGCAGCCCAATGTGCTGCATGTGAGCTGTGTCCCCCAAAGTCCCATGCTGAAGCCCTAACCCCCAGGACATCAGACGGTGACTGTATTTGGAGATCGGGATCTTCAAACAGGTAATTAAGATAAAATGAGATCATTAGGATGGGCACAAATCCGATCTGCCTGGTGTCCTTATAAAAAGAGGAGATGAGGACACAGACACAACCAGAGGGACAACCCTGTGAGGACACAGGGAGAAGACAGTGGCTGCAAGCCATGAAGAGAAGCCTTAGGCAGAGCCAGCCCTGTGGACACGCTGATCTCAGACTCCAGCCTCCAGGACTGTGGAAGCAGGAAAGTCAGTTGCTCCAGCCACCCCATCTGCGGGGCTTCTTTCAGCAGACCCAGCAAAGCAAGGCGGTGTGTGCTGTATATCATTTATACCTCTTCACCACCCCATAGGATGGAAATTTGAACGAGGTGAACTTAAGGGGTTCCCAGCACTTCCCGCAGCGGAACAGATGGCACGTGCAGAGGCAGGAGGGCCAGGCAGCAAAAAAGAGCAGGTGACAAAGCATGAAGTCACACTCATCCCTGTTTTGAATACACATTTAAAAATATTGCGTTACTAAAATTTTCTTATTTTTCTTTAATGAGTTCATGTTAATTGTGACATTTTTAAATTAAAAATATAAACAACTTAGTTTCATTTTATCACTGCAAGCGACTTTGAAACCTGCGTGAGGCTTTATTTCTAGGACAGACTTGAGCTTGAACAAGTCACTGGCAGTAGTGAGCTGGGAGCTGTGCTGGTGCAAAGGCAGCCCCGCCTGTGAGTGCTCGGCTTCCTGGGGCCCTTGGCGTGGGTCTGGAGGCTCCCCTGGCAGCCGTGGGTGCTGTCGGGCCGGGTACCCAAATCCTTGGCTGAACCACTGTTCTCCATGAGCTCACACTGTGTACCATGTTACCCCAAACACACACACACACAGAGAGAAGTGTGTGCACACACATGCTCATGCACACTCACACAGACTCAGGCACACATTCACGCCGCACACAGGTACCTATGTTTATACACACAGGTACTCGTTTACAGACATGTCCCCCCCATATATGCACACACACGCATATACACACACCTACAAACACCACCAGCACCCACAGGCCCACACTCATGCATTCTCCCTGGGGCCCTGGGAGAGCTTCCCCATGCGCCTGGTGAGGCTGGGCGCTGGGGTCTGGGGTGGGACACAGAGGAAGGATGCCGCAGCCAGGGGCAGAGGTGGGCAGGGACCAGCAAGCCTGGCCCATCAGGGCAGGAGGCAGGTGGATAGCGAGCGGGATGGATCAGGATACCACGAGGTGGGAGAGCCCCAGGTGCCCACACTGCCTCAGTTTACCCTGCCTTCCAGCTCTGATAGGCTGGCATCCTCCTAGCACACCGCTTTATATCAAGTACTTAGAGTCAGGCAGGTGAAGATGCTCAGCGGTCACAGACCTGTCATCTGGGAATGTCGGTCACCTGTTCGAGGGCAAATACACTGTTTCCCATGAGGCTTAGAGCCCTGGCAAAACCACACAATGAATAGAAGGCACAATTTACATCCTCCTACGATTGCCTGCGTTAGACTCAGCCACATGGTTATGTGTGCCGCTGAATCATGTAATTTCTGCATTTTTTAAAGAAAGATGAAAATGGAGAAATTATAGTATGCACATAACAGCAAGTTAATCATCAGTTGGTCGGAATCAAGAGAATTGTTGACTATGATTTGAGAGATTGTGACTCAGCTGTAAAGAGTACATGAGGAAACAGGCGCTCAATGAAAGCGATCCCTTTCTGATTTGACAGTCAAGGGGTGGAAGGGACTCTAAAATACTCTCCAGTGAGGCAGCATGTCACAGACACAGAGCATCTCACTTTTCTAAGTGAAGCAGAAATACTTCCTAAAAAATAAAATAAAGACTCCAAATCTGAGCTAGTTGATTTAAATATGCTAGTTTATCATGTGAGAAAGAGGAAGGACGAACTTCTCAACAGAAGGCGAATTCCTTGGCCCCAACTGACACCTCTGAGGTTACCGCTGGTGACTTCTCATCCCAAACCCTCATCACACTTGGTCTGACTTCTGAGTGGTCCAGACATCCTGCACAGGCTGGCCATGGATGCCCAGGTGGCATTCTCTCCCCGAATCTCCCCAGACATGCCTGGTGTCTCTAGCAGCCGCTCACCTTTCAGGACTCAGGGGCTCCCTTTTGAAGTCTTGTCTGTTCACCCAGTAAACATTAGTTATCCCTGTTCACGAAAACAGTCTCCACTCCCCCAGGAATGTACAACTTGGACGAGGCAGACGAGCGAGTCACCAGTTGCTGAACAGTGCCCCCGAATTGTCTATGCTGTGTGCCAGATTTCTTTCTTATTTTTAAAAAACCTTTATCATGGTTTCAGGAGTACATGTACGTGTTTGTTGCACAGGTAAATCGCGTGTTGCCAGGGTACATTGGTGTACAGATTATTTCACCACCCAGCTCATATGCAAAGTGGCTGATAGATGGTTTTTCAATCCTTGCCCTCCTCCTGCCCTCCACCATCAAGCAGGGTGTGTATTGGTCCTTCTTTGTGTTCATGAAGTCTCAACATCTAGCCCCCACTTATAAGTGAGAAAATGTGGTGTTTGGTTTTCTGTCCTGCATTAGTTCGCTTAGGATAATGCTATGCCATATTTCTAAAATTGTGTATATATGTTGGTCTGGCATTGTAACTTATCTCTTCACGGGTCTTTCTTTCTGAGATGAGAAAATTTGTCTTAAGGCTTTTTTTTTTTTAGAGATTTCATTTTATTTAGAGCAGTTTGTGGTTCTCAGCAAAGAAGGTAGAGAGAGCTCCCCTGTACCTCCTCCCCACAAATGCACAACCACCCCGTTATCAAGTCCACAGATTAAGCTGGGGCTTACGCTTGGTGTTGAACCTTCTATGGGCTTGGACCGGTGGAGAGTGTCTTGGATCCACATTGGAACATCACACAGAGCAGCGTCCCTGCCCTAAAAATCCGCCATGCTCCTTCTGTTCCTCCCTCCTTCCCCACAAGCCCTGGCCACCACTGGTATGTTTTCATAGCTTTATGTTTTCAGAATATACACCTTATAACCATTTCAGACTGCCTCATTCACGTAGCAACGTGCACTTAAGATTCCTCCAGGTTCTTCCATGGCTTGATCGCTCATTTCTCTCTGTGCTGAATCATGCACCATCGTGCGGATGAAGCCCAGTGCTTATTCCCTCACCCACTGAAGGGCATCTTGGTTGCCTCCTATTCTGAATAAAGCCGCTATAAGCATCTGTGTGCAGGATTTTGTGTGGACATGTTTCCAGCTCCTTTGGGTAAATACTCAGCGTGGAGCTGCTGGAATACGTGGTGAAAATGTTTACGGCCCTCTATATCCTCGCCAATACACTGACTAGAAGCAGGGATAGAACCTGGTCTGGGAGAAGACTGCTGTGGGGCCAGCAGTCCTCAAACGATGTTCAAGGTGCGGGGAAGAAGCCTGGAACTGTTGTGAGGCTTAAACCCATCAGACGTTCCGCTCGTGGGAGCTTTCCCTGTGACAGCTACCTGGAAGCATACACCCAGTTCCACTGGAGCTGGGTTTCTAGGAAGGTGCTGCCTCTGCTGGTAGAGAAATGTCACCATCTCCCCCGAGGACAGGAGCTCAGGCGGCCACGTGGCCTCTTCACTCCCAGAGCAGGAGGCGCAACAGTGGAGCCTGGGCCCTGGAGCCACCTCCTGAGTTCCCAGCCTGGCTCTACTCCTTGTTAGCTGCCACCGTGACCAGGTAATGAGCCTGTACGTAAACCTGTAGAATGGAACAACAGTAACTACCACAGGGGTAGGTCTAGAGTATCTGATACTACTCACCTCATGGATAATTTTTGAGTATTAAGTGTGTGTGTGTATACCTATATACATACATGTGTGTGAACATACATCTGGATAGAGCTAGATATAGACAGAGAATGTATACACAGCACATACAGATGAGAGAACACACTCAGAGTCACCTGCACATACATAGACATAGTGCATAGAGAGAGACACAGATGCACCCAGATAGGCATAGAGATGACTTAGAAATAGATGTGTGTGTGTGTGTGTGTGTGTGTGTGTGTGTGTGTGTGTGTGCAGAGAGGCCAAGATCTCAGCACGCTGCCCACACATGCTAAGTACACAGTGGCTGTTTTCTCTGCCCTGGAACAGGAAACCATCTCCTCCCCCAGAGGCCACTTCCCTACTCACTGCGGTCCACTGAGCTTGGTTGACACTCGAGCTGCATAAACAGCACTTGACTTGAGGTCCGAGCAGACCTTCTTAATCTAATCAGCTCTAAAATACTTGCTGTCGAGGGCTAACAGCCTCTTGAAGAAACTTGGGACCATTCCACGTTTCATTTACATGATGGATGAGAGGCAGAAATGGATTAAGTGGTAGATGAGCACCTTGGGACACAGGAAACCATTTGGAGTTGGAGTTGTCTCTGGCCCAGCTACTTCGGCAGCAGTGGGAAGTGACGTGACCCTGCGTTACCTGCTGGTGGCAGAGGGAGGGCCTCGCTGCCTCCCATGCTCAGTCTCAGGGCCCCTATCAGCAGCAGCCCTCACTGGGGTCTGCCCAGCACTGACCCACAGCTGGTAGATCCCTGCGTTTGACTCCACATTTTATGCCTTAGGAAGCAAAATCCATCCTCGTGCTGCCCTGGTTTCCCTGGCAGTGTCAGAAGACCAGAAATGGCCTTCGAAGAATAAATCCATGCATTTTTTTCTTGATATATTTTCCACCTTTACTGGAGATGAATGACAGTCATAGCTACAGAACGATGACCACTTCCATTGCAATTGCCACCATGTTTGAATGCAATGGGTGCACCAAGCAGCACCCTCAGCCAAACAGTCAGTGCCAGTGCATGAACTCAAGCCACATCTGCTGGTGTCTGTGGCTCGACCCTAACACTAGTGCAAATGCTACTCTTCTCAGGCTGCTCAAGCTCCTCTCACCCTCCATAAATTCCCATGAGTTCCATGTCACAGGGAAGCATGGTTTTCAGGAAGATCAATGTCAGCCAGGCCCCATTCAGCACCCTCCTCGTAGTGCCCTTCAGCACTGATTTCATAATCATGGTGCCTCTGCTCAGACCCAGGGGCTATAAGAGCCCCCAGCTCTGATGAGCGTGTTAATGACACTACAGAGCAGTCATGGGCCTGTCTTGGAAAGCCCTCCCTGGTGCATGGGCTGAGCCACTTGTGTCTCTGTATTCCCAGATGCATCCACTTTGTACTTGTTGTCACCAATATTGCTCTTTCTCCTGGTGACTGCGATTTCATCTATCATCACAAAGTAATTGTTGGATTAAGGACGAACAATTTTTCAGGATTTCAGCCATTGGGACTTCATGCCATAGATCAACACTTGACCTATTCTGCCTCCACAGAGGTCACATTTCAATATGCAGTGTTCAAAATTTCACCTTCCCAGAGAAAAGTAAAAAATGCCACATGATAAGAGGATGGCAAGGGGTCACTGTCATAAAAACAGTTGTAGAATTGTATATACTGACAGGGCCCTTAATGCAAATATGATCTTGAGAATCTACAGAGCTTTGCATTTTACAGATAGCTTTCAAGTCTGATTTATCATTTGGTCTTTGCAACAGCCCTGTGCAGTGTATAAAGCAGAATTTTTAAGATGAAGTGATGCAGGCCTAAAGGAGATGAATGGCTTACTAAAATAGATAATTAGGTCAACAAAGAACTCAGCCCACCCCCAAGTCAGATGCTTAGGTATGAATCTAACGAATCATGTACAAGATATGAGGAAAACTACGAAACTCGAAAGAAAGAAATTCAAGAACCAAATGAGAGAAATTCCATGTTCATGGATAGGAAGACTCAGTATTTTTAAGATGTCACTTCTTCCTCACTTGATTTGTAGATTCAATATATTCTCAATCAAAATCTGAGCAAGTGATGTTGTGGATATCACCAAACTCATTCTAAAGTTTATGTGGAGAGGCAAAAGGCCCAGAGTAGCCAATACAATGCTGAAGGAGAAGCACCAACTGGTGAAAGAAAGGACAAATAGATCAGTGGAACAGAATAGAGAACCCAGAAATAGACCCACACAAATACAGGGTTAGGGTTAAGGGTTGATTGTTGACAGAGCAGCAAAGGTGCTATAATAATTAGACATCCGCAAGCCAAAAAATGAGTCCAGACACAAATCTAACAGCTTTTGTAAAAATTAATTCAAAATGAATCACAGACCTAAATGTAAAATGCAAAGCTATAAAACTCCTACAAGATGACATAGGAGAAAATGTAGATGACCTTAGGTATGATGCTGACTTTTTAGATACGACACCCAAGAAACAATCCATAAAAACAAAATCAATAAATGGGACTTAATTTAAAAACTTGTGCACGGTAGAACCCAACATCAAGAAAATGAGAATGCATACCATAGATTAGGAGAAAATATATAAAGGACAGTTAAAACTCAACAATAGAAAAACAAACAACCCAATTAAAAAATGCACCTAAGACCTTAACTGATACCACGCCAAAGAAGAGATACAGATGGCAAATCAACCTATGAAAAGTCGCCCCGTATCATATGTCACTAGAGAACGCAGATAAAAACACCAATGAGATGCCACTACACCCCTAATAGCATGGCCAAAATCCAGAACATGGACACCCTGGATGCTGGTGAGGATGTGGAGCAGCAGGAACTCCCATCATTGCTGGTGGGAATGCAAAATAGCACAGCTTCTGTGGATGACAGTTCCATGGTTTCTAACAAAAGTAAACATTGTTTGGTCATATGATCCAGCAATCGTGCTTCTTGGCATTTACTCAAAGGAGTTTAAAACTTATGTCCACGCAAAAACCTGCACTTGGATGGTTGTAGGAGCTTTATCCATAACTGCCAAAACTTGGAGCGACCAAGAGGCCCTTCAGTGGGTGAATGGATACATCGTCTGTGGTTCATCCAGATCATGGCATATTATCCAGCTATTCAGTGCTTGAAAGAAATGAGCTACAAAGCCACAAAAAGACACGGGGGAAATGTAAGTGCATATTGCTAACTGAAAGAAGAAAGACCATCTGAAAAGGCTACATCCTGTAGGAGTCCATCTCTAGGACATTCTGGAAAAGGTGAAAATTTGCAGACAATGAAAAGATCAGGGGTTGCCAGGGTTTGGAGGAGGGGGAGGTAAACAAGTGGAGTACATGGGATTTGGGACAGAAAAATCACCCTGTATGGTGCTGTATACTGTAATGGTGGATACATGCCATTGTACATTTGTCTACACCCACAGAATGTACAATACATTCTGCTATGGTGAACCCTAATGTAAACTGTGAACTCTGGGTGGGTGGTGGTGATTGTCAATGTAGGTTCATCGACTACAACAAAAACCCCCTTTGATGGGCAGTGCGGACAGTGGGGGAGGCTGCGACTATACTGGGGACAGGGGCATGGGGTAACTCTGTACTCACCACTCAATTATGCTGTGAACCCCATGAAAGGAAAATAAATCTCAGGATCCCCAAATCGCTAAGCCAAAGGGAAAAGTCGAGTTGGGAACTGCATCGGACAAACCTGTTTTCCATTTGGTTCCTAAATAAGATCGCTACAAAGATAAAAAAAAGCTACATGCTTCCCTCGTGATTTGCCCACAAGGAAATTCCCTGTGGACAAAGGACAGACAGAATTCAAAGTCATCCCCCTGTGCACCTGAGACAAACATATATCTAATTGCTTCCTCTGCCCTATTGCTTATGTAACAATGCAGAGTCACTGAGCCAGACCAAGGCTTACGTGATGATTCCTGCTCTACCCTCCTCTCACATGGGAATTGTGTATTCGGTGAAAAGCTACCTATGACCTGGAAGCCCCTGCTGACCTCAAGTTGTCCTACCTTTCTAGACCAACTGATGTACATTTTACGCAGACTGATATTGATTGATGTCTCAGGTCTCCCTGAAATCTATAAAACCAAACTGTGTCTGGGTGCGGTGTCTCACACCTGTAATCTCAGCACTTTGGGAGGCCAAGGTGGGCAGATCACGAGGTCAGGAGATCGAGACCATCCTGGCTAACACGGTGAAACCCCGTCTCTACTAAAAATACAAAAAACTGGCTGGGTGGGGTGGCGGGCGGCTGTAGTCCCAGCTACTTGGGAGGCTGAGGCAGGAGAATGGTGTGAACCTGGGAGGCGGAGCTTGCAGTGAGCCAAGATAGCGCCACTGCACTCCAGCCTGGGTGACAGAGCGAGACTCCATCTCAAACAAACAAACGAACAAAAAACAAAAAACACCCCAAAACCAAACTGTGACCTGACCACCTTGGGCACACGTCATCAGGACCTACTGAGGCTGTGTCATGGGTGCATCCTTAACCTTGGCAAAATAAATTTTCTAAATTGATTGAGACCTGTCTCAGGTATTTTCTGTTCACAACCCCCAAATTATTAAAGTCTATTAACAACAAACAGCCACAAAAAGTCCAACCCAGTTCTTCTGACCCCAGTCTTTGGCTTTCTACTCCTGCAGCAACTACAAGAATTATGAGGCAGCAAAGGGTATTGGCTGAAGGACCCCGAGTGCTTGATCTGAAAGCCACCAAATCCAGAAGATGAGGCACCTGAGAGCAGCTGGCGGGATGGTCGGGAATGGCTCAGCCCACATTTTCAGATGCATTTGACTTCACTTCCGGAATAGAGTGAAGCCTTTCTTGTGGGAAGATCAATGCAGGCTGGCATTTCAACATGGTGCCAAGGTCAGGATCTCACTTTCCTAAGTGATTACCTGCATCTCTGCCCCGAGGGGATCTGCTCACCTTACTCAATCAGGTGATGGTTAGATCTTTCTCAACACCTTTTTCTTTCAAGTAAATCTCAAGTTGCTTTGCCCAGAAAACAAGGAAAACCGACTCCTTCCTACACAGAGAATAGATTCCTGGATTCTCTGCGATTATTTAATGTCAGTGGAAAAACATTCTCATTACTGTAGCTGGGAAGAAAAAAATGTGTTGCACAAGTGTGATTTCTATTCAGGACGTAGTGTGGGTTTGTGAGTAGCATAAAGAAATATATAAAACGCCTCCTTTATTAACTCGTTAAAATATGAAACAATAAACAGAAATGAAATACAATGTAATGAAATCAATATATAAGTTAGGGTTGTTTTTAATTATAACTTAAATTAACCAGGGTATCTCCATTGTGCAAGAATTTATTTCCAAAACTAAAATGAAGTCTATAAACGTGCACTCAATTACACCGGGGAATTGCAAATTTTCTGTCTTCTGGCATTCAAAAGATTTTTGTTTCATTAATGGCTAAAATGATTATAACCGCTTGTATACTCATTTCCTTTACCAAAGGTGCTTATCTCCTTTCCTGAGTACACATAGTTTGAGAGTAAAATTAATTTGTCCCTAAAGAATTATTTTGACCTCAAAAACAAAACAACAAAACAAAACAAAAAGAACAATGATTTCTGACATGAAGGCTCCAGAGATGTAAGTCGGGTTCTGGGCGTCCGGGGGCCCTTTAGAGACCCTCAGGGGTTCCTCCAGCAAAGGGGAACGGCTGAGGTTCCAGTCCTCATCCAGACAGAAGAACTCAGCTTTGTTTTAAATATAGGACTTTCTTGCTTCCCTTGAAAAATGAAAAAATGTTTGAAAATCACTCCTTCAGCAGGGTGTATGATCATGGTGTAGGTTCGGTTTCAGACAGAAGAAGGTGGTTCTGTGTGAATATGGTTATGCATTTGGTCTATTTGTTGTTTTGATTTTTTTTTTCATAAGCACTTACAAAGCAATATAGGTAAGTGTGGGGAGATAGCGTGGGTTCCCGTGAGAAATAATACTGATCTCTTTCTTGTGCCTCAGCTGAACAATTTGAAACCAAGCATTTTATTTTTTTCTGTGCTAAACAATTGATATGGTTTGTTGTGTTCCCACCCAAATCTCATCTTGAATTGTAGCTCCCATAATTCCCACGTGTTGTGGGAGCGACCTGGTGGGAGGTAATTGAATCATGGGGGCGGTTCCCCCTGTACTATTCTCACGGTAGTGAGCCTTATGAGATCTAATGATTTTATAAGGGGTTTCCCCTTTCTCTTGGCTCTCATTCTCTCTTGACTGCCGCCATGTAAGATGTGCCTTTCATCCTCTGCCATGATTGTGAGGCCTCCCTAGTCTCATGGAACTGTGAGTCCATTAAGTGTCTTTTTCTTTATAAATTACCCAGTCTCGGTTGCGTCTTTATCAACAGCTGAAAGCGGACTAATGCAACAATACTATGACAAGGGGAAAATGACTTGGCTCCAGTAAATCTTTGTTTGACCCAATCACAGGCTACACACTGAGGCCACCCTGGCTCAAGGCTCACTTCAAGACCCACCTTGCAGGACAAGCAGTTCTAAGCTCACAGGTCACACCCTCTCCCCAATCCCTCCAGTTGCTGCCCTGAAACACTCACCTTAAAGCTGCCCAGCCCAGGCCTGAAACCCTGAACGTATCTTCCTCTATTCCCATTTTGAGATACCCCGGATGCTATGTCAAGGTGGTTTTTTATCTGCAGCGGGTCCAACAAGCCTGGATTTGGTGATCAACAAAGCCCTTCCTTGGGTTTTTGGAGCATGAGCAACCAATATAAGGAACTTGATAGGCCAAATGATGGGAATTTAATGTGCAGATTGTCTTAAACAGATTCCCCCTTGGTAGACAGAGCTAGGTAGGCCAGACGGTGCTGCTGTTGGGAGGATTTGCTGGTGAACAATCAAACGCAGAAAGATGGCACCAAGAGTCACCCTTCTGCGGCTGGAACATCGCCTGGATGAAGGCAGAGAAAACCTTTCTATGCCTGATACCGAGCTCGGAATTTTGGCCTAAGGAGGAGAAAGTGGGTTCGACAGCCAGAAGTCAGGGAACAAAGGCAGGAAGACAGCCCGACCCTGGATGGACGCCAGCCCCTGCCTTGGGGTTCACACTCAATTCTGGAGGCAATGGGGTGTGGGATCTGCTTTGACACAAATTCATGAGAAAAAGATGTGGAGAGCTTCGCAGATGACAAGATCGATACAGATCAAGACAGAGCTCCTGACAGAGGCAGCATGGCCTCCGATGCTTGGAGGAGTCGGCTTGAGGCCTGGCTGGCTTTGTTCTGATCAGGCCTATCCAGCCCAGAACCACAGCACAGCACCCTCATCCACATTTTAAAAAGCTCCCAAATCTAAAACCCTGTGGCTGGGAGACGTAACCTGAAGCGACCTAAGGCTCTTTGTCTTCTTGTGTACCCCTCTTCCTCTGAATATTCCTGTGTTCTCATGCACAAGTTACTGGCATGGCTCCATCAGTCCACTGGTTATTATTTATGTGCACCGAATTCCTTCCTTTCACATCGGAAAGACCCTGGTTCTGAATTCTGCCACATTTGTGGCGAACAGATGGTGGGCATTTTTAGGACTGATACTTTCATATGGGAACCTACCCACCTTCAGCCTGACCGCCAGCCTCCAGGGGAGAACGTATGGTGGAAAGGTGCGGACCCTGCCACGGTCAGGGCATCCATGGTCGGGGCATCCACGATCAGGGCATCCATGGTAGGGTGTCCACTGTTGGGGCATCCATGGTCAAGGCATCCACGGAGGGGCGTCTGCGGTCAGGGCATCCATGGTCGGGGTGTCCATGGTCGGGGTGTCCATGGTTGGGGTGTCCACAGTGGGGCATCCATGGTCAGGACATCCACGGTCGGGGCGTCCATGGTCCAGGCGTCCACAGTCTGGGCATCCAGCTCCATCAGAACCATGGGCCCCGCCTCTTTGGCCTATGCTTGTCCATGGCCACCCCTGAGTTAGAAGCCTGCTGGCTTCTGTCCTCGGCTGCTTGTCCCCCATCCCATGTTTCAGGAGGTTTTTATTTTTATTTTTCATGTATGAGATGGAGTCTCGCTCTGTCGCCCAGTCTGGAGTGCAATGGCATGATCTCAGCTCACCACAACCTCCGCTTCCTGAGTTCAAGCAATTCTCCAGTCTCAGCCTCCTGAGTAGCTGGGATTACAGGTGCCTGCCACCATACCCGGCTAATTTTTTTGTTTGTAGGAGACAGGATTTCACCATATTAGCCAGGCTGGTCTCAAACTCCTGACCTCAGGTGATGCACCCGCCTTGGCCTCCCAAAGTGTCAAGTGGTTTTTAAATGGTCCTTCTGGCTTCAGCAGGTGCTCCTCTGGGAGCCAGGCTGTGAGCTGTGGGCTGGCCTTGCTGGATTTGGGGAATGGGCCTGAGAGAGTGTCCAGGCCCCTGTGGGCTGTGTGAGGTTGGCCTGGCTTGCTGGCAGCATCGCCTCCATGGTTGCTCCCAGCACCTCCATGTCTTGGGTGCCCATGTGGTATCATCGCAAGGCATAGTGGCGCTGAGCCTGCACAGGTCAGTGGCCTTGGTGACTTCCATCTGTGCTCATTTTCACATTTTGGTTGTGGCACCCAGCCCATTAGGAGCCTCAGATTGCTTGGCCAGACTGGGATCAGCTATTAATACCAGGAATTCAGGTTTTAATTAAGCATGGGTGAATCAGGCTCAAGATAATAGCTCCATATGACGAAGTTCATTCCATAACGTTGCTGGTTCTAATGTGAATGGGTTCTCGTTGATTTTTATTCTAAATTTCATTTTTATGAATAATATATCCACATGGTTAAATAAAAAGTGGAAAACACATAAAAATAAGGCAGCAGTTCCCCCTCCTGCCCAGAGGCATTTTCTCTGGACCTGGTTCCTCATGGAGGCAGCACCAGTGTCTGTCATCGTGGTTCCCCTCTGGCCGTTAGACGAGAGGCTCTGCAATGCTGACCGGAAAAAACCATGTGCTTTTGTCAGGCTTGGAGATTTGCAGCAGTCTTTTCATGTATTTCATGTAGAGGTTGTAAAAGTTGGTAGCATAGTCAAACTCATAGAAACAGAGAGCAGAAGGGTGGTTGCCAGAGCCGGAGAGTCGTGCAGGGGGTTGCTGGTGTGAGGTGGACGGTGGACGGTTTCAGGGATGGGAGGAGTGCCTTCTGGAGACCTGATGCTCAGCACGGGAAACGCAGTCAGTAACCGTGCGTCGTCTGCTGCAGGAGCTGTGATGAGAGAGTCTCCAGGGTGCTCAGGTTACTCAGTAAAAGGGGAACTGACCACCTGAGGCCACAGGCGTGCTACTGAGCACAGATGTGGAAATCGTTTCACAATGTACCTGTCCATCTAATGCCACGCTGGGCTCCGCAAACAGGTGCAATTTCTATGTGTCGATTATACCTCAGTGAAACTGTTCTAAGAATCTGTGTCCGAAGCCTTTTTAATTCATCCTTTGTGGTTCCTCAGAAGAGGATTCCTCAACCTTGCCTGGGCTGGGGCCTCACCGGGAGCCTGGTCCCCAGGTTATGGACTCCGCCTGAGTTTGATGGGTGTGGGTGGGAGAAGCCACCCTGAATCCAGACGCAGCACCAGAGGCAGGGCTGCTGCTGTCCCTGCCTCGGCCACACTGCAGGGCTGCTCGGAGGCTCCGCGAGGGCGTGCCATCCCCTTCCTTCTTTCCTCCCTCTCAAAAATGCCCCTTCGTACCCCCACCCACAGCTCATTCCCACTAAGCACTGTTAAAAGGGTTCGCTGCTGAGGGTCTACAGCTGCATTATTGGCGAATGCCTGGACCCAAAGGCATCGAGACAGTGGGGCTGCATTTGGGGGCAGGGGTCTTCATGGGAGCCCCTGAGTTCATTCTGTGCCCTTTTGGGGGTTGGGGGACTGCTCCCTGTCTTCAGTGTCTGTGCAATTCAGAAAGTGCTCTCTGGGTGCCACTTCCCTCCACATTAAATGGATCTCTAGTTTCCCTGTCTCTGAATCTCTCTTACACACAGAGGCGTGCACGCACACACACACACACACACGCACACACTCACCAGGACCCCCCCACCTGCCGCCGTCTTGTTGGACGAGGTGGCAGATTGTGTTATGCTTGTCTGACATGATTCCACTTATGCCTCCCATGGAAAACTCCTTAGGGCAGGGACTTGGTTCAGCACAATTTCATCTATTATTCAGCAATCTCTGTGTAGCGCTGGTATCTTGTAAGTGATAAATTATTATAATGAAAGAAAATCTTCTTGCCAGTTCATCTTGGAAAACACAAGATCGACCTCCGGCCGGCATCCTTCACCTCACCCACCAGCCTGTGGACAGCGGCTCTCAGGCCCTCCTGGGCAGGGGTTCCGGCTCTACGGCTGACCCTGGTACATGGGCTTTTTACAACCCTGGTTTTCCCCGGATTCTCCTGTCAGGGTGGGATCCCTTTAGAGTGAATTCAAGATCTTGTTTAGGAAGGTTTGGAAGAAGATGCTGAGAGCACCAGACACCCAGGATGGGATAAAATGCTTTTGATGACAATAATAAGCTCAGATGCCCTCGCAAGTATAACAAAGCCCAGCTCCTCCTCCGTGCCACATGATCCCCTCTGTCACCCAGCTCCCCTGGCCCAAGCCACACTCTGTAGGTCTCCTCTCTGGCATGGTCCCCTCTGTCACCCAGCTTCCCTCGCCCAAGCCACCCTCCATAGGTCTCCTCTCTGGCATGGTCCCCTCTGTCACCCAGCTCCCTTCGCCCAAGCCACCCTCCATAGGTCTCCTCTCTGGCATGGTCCCCTCTGTCACCCAGCTACCCTCGCCCAAGCCACCCTCCATAGGTCTCCTCTCTGGCATGGTCCCCTCTGTCACCCAGCTTCCCTCGCCCAAGCCACCCTCCATAGGTCTCCTCTCTGGCATGGTCCCCTCTGTCACCCAGCTCCCTTCGCCAAAGCCACCCTCCATAGGTCTCCTCTCTGGCATGGTCCCCTCTGTCACCCAGCTACCCTCGCCCAAGCCACCCTCCATAGGTCTCCTCTCTGGCATGGTCCCCTCTGTCACCCAGCTTCCCTCGCCCAAGCCACCCTCCATAGGTCTCCTCTCTGGCATGGTCCCCTCTGTCACCCAGATTCACTCACCCAAGCCACCCTCCATAGGTCTCTTCTCTGGCATGGTCCCCTCTGTCACCCAGCTTCCCTCGCCCAAGCCACCCTCCATAGGTTTCCTCTCTGGCATGGTCCCCTCTGTCACCCAGCTTCCCTCACCCAAGCCACCCTCCATAGGTCTCCTCTCTGGCATGGTCCCCTCTGTCACCCAGCTTCCCTCGCCCAAGCCACCCTCCATAGGTCTCCTCTCTGGCATGGTCCCCTCTGTCACCCAGCTTCCCTCACCCAAGCCACCCTCCATAGGTCTCCTCTCTGGCATGGTCCCCTCTGTCACCCAGCTTCCCTCGCCCACGCCACCCTCCATAGGTCTCCTCTCTGGCATGGTCCCCTCTGTCACCCAGCTCCCTTCACCCAAGCCACGCTCCATCGGTCTCCTCTCTGGCATGGTCCCCTCTGTCACCCAGCTCCCTTCGCCCAAGCCACCCTCCATAGGTCTCCTCTCTGGCATGGTCCCCTCTGTCACCCAGCTTCCCTCACCCAAGCCACCCTCCATAGGTCTCCTCTCTGGCATGGTCCCCTCTGTCACCCAGCTCCCCTGGCCCAAACCACACTCTGTAGGTCTCCTCTCTGGCATGGTCCCCTCTGTCACCCAGCTCCCCTTGCCCTAGCCATGCTCCATAGGTCGCCTCTCTGGTCCAACAGTGTCAGGTGACCATGAGTGCCCAATACTCTTGAGTTTATTTAAATCATATGAAACATCCTTTAGGTGACTGGTAATTAGAAATACAAGCAATGACAATTTTTTAAAATTTAAATTCCTCAAGTATGGTCCACTGTACACCATTTCTGCGAAGTAGTAATAAGTGCGGGCTTAAAGAAGCAGAGAGTTCTGTAGTCTCAAGAGTTTAGAAAAGTCTTCTTTGAATTAATTAATTTATGATTTGGTTTGTTTTTGCTTATAACTGTGGCTCCTCAGCAATATTACTTCTAACGTGACTGCATGGACAAGGTTGATGATGGGCAACTTTTTCCAAGTTTATTTGACTTTTACCCTTCTCTCTCTTTTTTCCTAATACAGTGCTTGGTAGAATGGTTTGGGGGAATTTTATAAGAATGAGCCCTTGAGAGTAGAATTTGATGATATGTGAAGTGCTTCTACATGACATCTTCTGCCCGGCCCATCTCATGGGATTCGGAGAGCTGCAGGACCCATAAGAGCCATCCAGTCAGCTGCGGCTTGTCCTCCTGATGTACTGACTTAAAAACAAGTCTGTGAGGCCGGGTGCAGTGGCTCATGCTTGTAATCCCAGCACTTTGGGAGGCCGAGGCTGGTAGATCACGAGGTCAGGAGTTCGGGACCAGCCTGGCCAACATAGTGAAACCCTGTCTCTACTAAAAATACAAAAATTAGCCAGGCATGGTGGCGGGCGCCTGTAATCCCAGCTACTCGGGAGGCTGAGGCAGGAGAATCGCTTAAAATCCAGGAGGCAGAGGTTGCAGGGACCTGAGATCGTGCCACTGCACTCCAGCCTGGGTGATAGAGCAAGACTCCATCTCAAAAGAAAATCAAAAAACAAACAAAACAACAACAACAACAAAAACCACGTCTGCGTGACTGCCTCCCGGGGCGAGGTAGCATGCCTCCTGTCCACATAGCTGTAGGTTTCTCTCTCCATTTTTCTCCTCAGGTCTTCTGTGGTGGGGCCATTTTCACCTCAAGTCTCCAAGAGCAGGGCCTTTCCACCCAGTCTGTTGGAAAGGATTTTGGCGTGGGTGTTTGCCGTGAGCAGATGTTGCTAACTCACCATCAAGCGGCCCAATCTCTCTGAGTGGGCTGAGCAAACACCCTGGCTCCAGCACAGGGCCTCAGACAGACCCTTTGCAGTGGCCTTAGCACTGAGAGAAACGCCCACTCCTCGTTTTCTTGGCTAAGCAAGGGGCTCCTTTTCAGAATTAACAGTTAAAGCAGCTTAGGCTGCTGGAGCAAGATCAAGAGCCTGTGCTGGAGGACGCTTAAAGAGCCTCCAGTTTTTCAGCCAGTGGCATGATATCAGGTCCTGTAAGTGGAGACTCGCAGAATTGCACAATCCGGGCTCCCTTCCTCCCACCACTTCGTTGTATCGGGGCAGAGCAAGGCTTGAAGATGTGTGGCATACCTGTGGTGGGGTGCCATCCACGCATCCAGCACACAGCCGCTGAGCGCCCACTGCCTCCCCCATCTCTGCTGGGGACCAGGGCTGTGCTGCAGGATCTGAGGAAGTGCAGGAAGCGGTCTTTCCTCAGGGGCTTGGTGGCTCATTCCTAGACCTGCCCGCCCAGCACAGACAATGCAGGGAGCCAGGTGGCACCTGGGGCGTGGCCTGAATGTCATACGGAAGCTGAGGCTTGGGAACGGTGCACTTATAACATAGCCGAGGTTCCTCCGCATGGATAATCTTTGAGCTGGCTTTTGGAAAATAAGTAAACATTTGCAAGGCACAGAAAAAGATAAAAACTTTGCCCTCAGAGAACAGATGATGATTAAATTCAAGAAATGCGCTGAAGAACAGCTTGCCTGCATGGAATTCCTGTGTTGAGAAGAGAGGGTCTCAGAGTACAGCAACAGGGAGACCAGAAAGACCAACTGAGCACCCGGCAGTGGCATCAGACAGTATGGTATGGAGGCTAGGCCTCACCCCAGGGCACTGGCTAAGGACGTTCAGAAGGATCAACACATCAATACAGTCAGATTTGTATTAGAAAAAATAGTGTGGAGGGCGGATGTGGCAGGGGCATCTGCTGGTCGGAACCATGGCTGCCATCAGGGTCAGAGGCTGAGGGCCGAGGCTCAGCTGTCACCATGAGGCCAGACCCTGGGATTCTTCCCTGTCCTCCCAGTCCAATGCCTTTTCCCTGGAGCCCCATGCAGGCACTGCTTGTTCTGCACAGACCCCAGAGAGACCAGAGAGAAGTATTCTGCATGGTGCCTGTCTTCACAATTTCTACAATTCAGCCGAGAGACAAAATCCTCCCAGGTGAACCATTTTAAAAACATTTGTGCCGGTCATAATGGACTTCAAAGTTGGTTTGTGGGGATCCACAGAGATCAGAGCAGCCCTAGGCCCAGCAGCTTTGGACATCTACATGTTGGAGCCTATGGGGAGAATGAGCTCACTTCCAGGAAAGTAAATGTGCTGTGTTCCACAGCCCGCTGGCCTCGCTCATGCCTTCTGCACTCTCCAGGTGTGTGCTTCACAGACAGGCTGCTCTGCCTACGGCTTTGTGGTCTGTTTCCACTTGTGGCCAGGTCTCATGGACACCCCTTCATGACTTGTTCACAGAAAGAGTGAAGGGGGCTCTCTTCATGCTGGTAACCAGCCAGGTGCAAGAGCTGGATGACTGGATTTTGTGGACTGCTGGGTTGCATATATCTTTAGGATGATTGTCTTCTAAGAACTCATATTCAAAAATGACAATAACATAGTTTGAAGTGGTACTCAATGGCAATGACATTTTTGACAAGGAAAACAGTGATGGGCATCAATTGGAACATCATGATTGTTTTTCTTATATCCCATTTACTTGTGGGGAAAAACCAACAAGTTTATCTTGTTTAGGAGTAAAATGGCTCAAGTATAAAGAAAATCTTCCATGAAGAGGGATCCTTTTGGCCTCCCTGTAAGCATTACTGCTCTATAAATGATTTAATAACACTGATAATGACCATCGGCAGCTAGGAGAATAAAGTCCGGCACCGGGAGAGAAATGTCACTTAACAAATATTCACGTGCAACCCCCTGCACTAAGAGCTGAGTGAAGCCCCCTGGAGAGGCCCCATCAGGACAGAGGCTTGCAGGAGAGATGCTTCCTGGCACAGGCCCTGATCCCTGCAGGGGCTGGGGAGGTGCCGAGGATGGACCCGCTGGCTGAGTGGCTGAGACCAGGGGAGCACTGCTCAGAATAGGATGAGGGAATCGGTGTCACCCGGCCATGAGCCCCGGGACACAGAGCACAACCGGACAGAAGCACCTCCGGGAAGGCCTGTGGGGTCCGTGGGGTCTAGTGGGGAAGATGGCAATGTTGACGAAGTGGCAAAGCAAGGGTGTCCCGCAGCAGGAGGGAGAGTGGGAGCAAGCCAGGATTTACTGGCACCCGGAGGGTTTAGTCTTTTATTCCATTTCCCGTCACTGGTGCCCAGAGTCTTCTTGGGCAAAAGGGAATGGGGGGGCTTCATCGCCGACTTCTCTCCACGGTGGGTGGCAGTGTGTGATTGTTAAAGGGAAAGTGAGCCTCCTGCCCAGGAGCCACGAGACTCAAGAAAGTTCACTAGAACTACCGACCACAGTATTAAGGAATTATGATTATATAGGCACAGAGCATGGAATAATTATACATTATGCTGATGGTGCCTTTCTTTTGAAGAGTTGTAAGCCTTCATTAAAATCTTGCAAATGACAGTAATGAAATGAAAATAAAGCCTTTCAAGTGAAGCCCTCTGGGTGTTTTTCTTTTCTCTTTTGGGGGAGGGGGATATGTGTATATAGCAAAAATGAAGCAGATATTTAGGTGACTATGATTTTTATCATCTTTAAGGCAATTCCCAATTGACAGAGTAAACAGACAACCTACAGAATAGGAGAAATATTTGCAAACTTTGCATCTGACATAGGGTCAATACCCAGAATCTACAAGGAGCTCAAACAACTCAACAGAAAAAAAATAACCTCATTAAAAAGTGGGCACAGGACATGAGCAGACATTTTCAAAAAGAGACATATGAGGGGCCAAGAAACATATGAAAAAATGCTTAACCATCATCACTAACCATCAGAGAAATGCAAATTAAAACCACAATGGGACATCGTCTCACACCAGTCAGAATGGCAGTTATTAAAAAGTCAATGAACAACAGATGCTGGTGAGCTTGTGAAGCAAAGGGAATGCTACTATGCTCTTGGTGAGAATGTAAATTAGTATAGCTTCTATTGAAAACAGCTTGGAGATTTTGCAAAGAACTAAAAATAGAACTACCATTCAGTCCAGCAATCCCACTACTGGATATCTACCCAAAGGGAAAGAAATCATTGTATAAAAAAGATGCTTGCCTTCCTTTGTTTATTGCAGCACTACTCATAATAGCAGAGCATGGAATCAACCTAAGTGTCCATCAGCAATGCACTGAATAAAGACAATGTGGTACATATACACTGTGGAATACTATGCAGCCATGAAAAAGAAAGAAGTCATATCTTTTACAGCAACATGGATAGAGCTGGAGACCATTGTCCTAAGAAAAATAACTCAGAGCATGTATCAAATGCCACATGTTCTGACTTGTAAGTAAGAGCTAAACAGTGAGTACCCATGGATACACTGAGTGGAAAAGTAGACACTGGAGGCTCCACAAGGCAGAGGGCAGAGGTGGGGGCATGAGCTGAAATGTCACCTGCTGGGTGCCCTGTTTACAATTCCGGTGGTGGGTGCACCGAGACATTCCCTGCTGGGTGCCCTGCTCACAATTCCAGAGGTGGGTGCACTGGGACATCCCCTGCTGGGTGCCCTGCTCACAATTCCAGAGGTGGGTGCACTGAGACATCCCCTGCTGGGTGCCCTGCTCACAATTCCAGAGGTGGGTGCACTAAACCCAGACTCCACCACTATCCAATATATGCATGGAAGAAATCTGCAGCTATAGCCCCCAAATCTATAGAAATAAAATAAATGAGGATCATAACTTAAAATAACAAAAGCAAGTCCCCACCACCCAGCCTTGCTCAGATGCCCACAGTAGACAAATATCCGTGGAGAAACGGGTGGCGATGTGGCCCATTGCTTGGACCGAAACGGGTCGGGGATGTGGCCCATTGCTTGGAGTCCTGATGCTGAGCTACACACAATTCCGGAAGATCCTGACAGCAAGCCCCTGAGAGGAGAGGAGGAAGGATCCCTGGGCAGGAGGAGCCCACAGAAGATGCAGAAGGCCCCAGGAGAGCTGGCGTGGGGACACGAAGGAGCTGGCTGTCTGGGGAGCTCTGGGTCAAAGCTTAAGCAAGCCAGGGAGAGCCCTGGCCCTCTGGTCAGGAGGCAGACTGGAATCCGCAGACAGAAGCGAAGGGATCTCCCAGGCAGGGATCTCACAGCCTGCGGCACCCAGGCAGGAAGGAGTGAAGCCCAGGGGAGGGAGCGGATGCCCATGAGGTTCCCAACCGGAAGCCCAGGGCCGCGGTGCACACCTGCTGTGTGGCTGGACAGAGGCGCAGCTGCCGGTGTGTGGTGGCCCCAGGCCCTCAGCTGTTACCATGCAGCCCAGTATTGTAGCTCACAACCAAGAGTGCCATGTTAACGGGAGGACTCAAAAGAAATCTTAATTGATAAATTGAGAAAGTGTGTATGTGTTTTGTGAGCTACCAGTGTATCTCAGACGTAAAATTCCAGCTTCCCAGTTTATGATTGGCACGGGCCATCCTCCCTGCAGCGTTGACTCGCTTGACAAAGAGTTTCAGGGGCTGAGGGGGTGGAAACAAAGATGGAAAGGCCGTGGAGAATCTCACTGTTCTATGACCAGGGACTGACCCAGAGGCTTCTGTTTGCTGAGCTGCAAAATGAGGATGATGACGGGTGAAATTCATACAAGAACTGTACAGATTAAGTGAGAAACATGTAAAGTGTGTGTCACTTTGACCTGCAAGCATGCAGTGACGACCGGTAGCTGTGAATACTGCCACTGTCATCACTATCATCATTTCCACGACCATCTCACATTATGATCCTGTGTACAGGGAAGCACGTATTGGAAATATGGGTTTGGGGAGGGTGTAGTCCTGAAGAGCCGTTAATTAATATTTTAATACACATTCATGGTACCAGAAAGGACACTAAATTTATGTGGAAGATGCAACCCTCCCAGTTGGACTTTAAATCACAACAGAAAGACAGATTGTGAAGTGGGTCAGTGAGGGGTTTAGGAAAAAATTCGCACCTGGCCTCTTAAGTATCCCTTCCTCTGTCTGGAAGCCTTTGTGAAACTTTGTTTTTTTTCTCTTTTTGAGACAGGGTGCTGCTCTGTTGCCGAGGCTGGAGTAGAGTACAGTGGTGCTATCACAGCTCACTGGAACCTCTGCCTCCCTAGGCTCAAGTGATTCTCCTACCTCAGCCTCCCAAGTAGCTAGGACTCCAGGCATGCATCACCACACCTAATTTTTGTATTTTTTTTCTAGAAATGGAGTTTCACCATGTTGCCCTGGCTGGTCTCAAACACTTGGGCTCCAGAGATCTGAGCACCTAGGCCTCCCAAAGTGCTGGGATTACAGACATGTGCCACTGTGCCCGGCCTGTGAAATAATTTGATGACAACAATTGCTTCTACTTTTTAAAAAGTCATGAGGACTCCACGTGACAATGCCAGGTTCACCTGAGGGTAGGCCACATGTGGTATAAATAGTGCAGAAATGGGAGTGGTGGGAAAAGCAAATCTGCTGGCAGGGAGAAGCTGCAGCCTCAGATGGGCCCATTAGGTGTTTGCCTGGGATGGGGTGCTGAGGCCTGGCTACACTTAGGGAAACTGGCATTGGCAATACCTTATCCCAGAAACTGCTGGCCTTCATTGCCCGGGTCCAATCCTATTGTTAACACCTGATAGAGGATGGATATTAAGATTCAAGCAGGAGGCCGGGCACAGTGGCTCACGCCTATAATCCCAACACTTTGGGAAGCTGAGATGGGGGGATCATCTGAGGTCAGGAGTTTGAGACCAGCCTGGTCAACATGGCGAAAGCCCCGTCTCTACTAAAAATACAAAAAGTAGCTGGGCGTGGTGGTGCGCCCCTGTAATCCCAGCTACTCCGAAGTCCGAGTCATGAGGATCACTTGAACTCAGGAGGCGGAGGCTGCAATGAGCCGAAATTGCATCACTGCACCCCAGCCTGGGCAACAGAGTGAGACTCTGTCTCAAAAAAAAAAAAAAAAAAAAAAAGATTCAGTGTTACCAGAAAGGACACTAATTTATTATGTAATAGCTGCTCCGACTAGAAGGAGTCCCATTGATTTCCACTCTCCCATTCTTCCTATTTGGCAGGGAACTTAACAACAGCACATGTTTGGGCAAATCTATGATTCTCTGAGGCCCCTGTTCCATGGTGATGCTAAATCCCTCCTCCCAGGTGCATGTGAAAATGGCATTCTATGGTGGAGAGGAAGCAGCCAGCACGCAGCTCCTCAAGGCAGATTAGCTGGTGGGAGCGATGATGACGGCGGCCGCAGAAGCAGTGACTCTTGCAGCAGGGCCTTGCTCAGTCTCAGAGGCTGATGCTACGTCTAATTCATGAGAGGAAGTGAGCTCTGAGTGTGAAGAGCCTGCAGTACTCAGACACAAGTTCAGACAGGTTTGCATTGGCCACAGACCGGCTGCTCAGAACAGAAAGCCAGTTTGCCTGTTCCCGTCCTCTTTGGAACACCCAACTCATAAAGTCACAGAGACACCACGTGTGGCTCAGAGACTCAGTGGGAGCTTCCCTAGGTTTTTGTGAAGCCTGTGAGTGGTCACTGGAGCCCAGGCGTCAATGACCAAGTGGAAGATAGGCCAGGTGGGCCCCCACTGGTGGCCATCGGACAGAATCCAGGTTCGGCTCTGCAGTGTGGGTCTAAGTTAACTTTAGTCCAGTTTTCTTGCCAGCATGCCCTTCTCACAGTAAACGGTTTCCTGTGCCCTGAAGGAATCTCCCCATCTCAGCCTTGCCAAATGCATTCAATTTTCCTGTAACAACATGATTTAAAGCCTACTTTAAAAAATAAACACCGATCTTAGCTATTGTGTCTTAGCCAGAGAGCTGGCCTCACAGGAAAAAGGCTCATGTCTGTTCCTTTTGCATGAAACTTGGCATGCTGTACACACGTTAGAAACATGTGCTGAGCTGATGAGCAGCTCACCAAAAAGAACCACAAAGCTGATCGGTGTCCAAGGAACGTTGGTGGGAGAGACGATGTGCTCCTGACGACAGCCACCTGCTCCCCCGAAAGCCAGCATCAGCCGCTGCGGTCTGTGCTCCGGGGTACTTCCATGCATCTTTCAAAGAAATCTTTAGGAACAGTTGTCACTGCAATCCTTGTGGGTCACAGTGAGAAAAGTTCAGTTTCAATAGAAAACTAAGCCACAGATAAAACAAAGCAAAAGCAAAAGCATTGAATGTGAGGGGGTCCCATTCCCTTTGTGGAAACCCAGGACTCAGCAGAATTCATGGACGTTCTTAGTAGAGTCAGCCATCACTACAGCAAGTTCTCCCTCAGAGATGGACTCTTGGAAGCCACTGGCAGGAGGGCTCATGGGAACCGGTGCGTGTTGGGTGCTGTGTGCAAACGGAGCAGGGACAGGCTCAGAGGGCCTGAAGCTGGCGGGGAAGTCGCTACCCTACCACCCAGCGATGGCTGGCTGTCCTGCAGTGGGTTCTGCTGACTCCACACGGGGGACTGACTCCCAGAGACCCTGATGTGGACTTTCAAACTGGCACCTGCTGAATGCACACCACGGGTGGTCAGGCCAGTAGGGTGGAGGAGCCGCTTCCCGAGGTTCCTTCTGTGCCTGCAGAGGCCTGAGAGCCAGGTCCACTCTGCTTTCAATGCCACTTTTGAGCGCGTTGTGTTTTCCCAGCGTCTCCCTCCCCACATCAGCAATTCCTCACACCACGCTGAGGGAAGAATGGCTCCCGATGACAGGCCTCCCAAGGAATGGAGGAGGGGAAGCGTGATTTTTCTCCTTTCCTCATCCCTCCGGCATCCATCGACTCTCCATGATAAATGAGGAGGGCACGACTTCTTTTGTCATTGGAGAAACTGACTCCACATTGCACAGCCAGGGAGAGGCTATCCTGGCTATTTCCTCAAGAATGAACCTTGATGGTGGCTGTGCAGATACACACACACATCCACATACATATGCACACACACCTGTACATACACATCCACACACATATGCACACACACCTGTACATACACACATCCACACACATATGCACACACACCTGTACATACAGACACACAACACACACACACCTGTACATACACACACATCCACATACATCCACACACATATGCATACACACCTGTACATCCACACACATATGCACATCTGTACATACACACACCTCTACATACACACATACACATATCAACACACACACACTTGTACATACACATATGAACACACACCTGTATATACATAGATGCACATCATGCGCACACCTGTACACACATGCACACACAGACACACATCAACACGTGCACACACACCAACACACACAACTGTACACACACATACACACATCAATATAAACACACACGCACACACACCTATACATACACACAACACAGACACCTGTACACACATACACACATCAACACACACACCTATACACACACACCTATACACACATAAACACACACACACCTGTACACACATTAACACACACACACCTGTACACACATTCACACATGTGGCCGGGGTGGAGCTGGGATGAGGAAGATGGATTCTTCGGACAATTGGTAGGCAGCACCCCCGGATGACAGCAGGGCTGTGTCAGGGACGGCCATGGCTATGGCTCTTCCTGGTGCCGCATTGACAAGGGCCAGGAAGCAGCACCGGCTTGGAGCCCGACCCTGGTAGTCGCTCCGCTCTAAGGACCTTTGCACCTCGAGGTCCTGAGTAGGGCCAGCCCTGCTACCTGGACAGAGATGAGGATCACAGGACTGAAGATTTCTGCTTGTGAAAAGGATGTCCCCTAACCTCCTACCCATAGCGTCTGAAATCACCCTGATTAGAACGATTTCCTTGGCCGAAGGAAGGCCTGAGTGTCACCGAGAGAGCACGAGGTGCCCAGTGCCATGGAGGTTCTCTCTACGCTGCCAGTTGCACTTTTGTGGTTTATGTGACAGCTCACAGTATGTACAGTGGTCATAAGTCACAGTCACATACAATTTTAGAGCTGTGATCTTTTTTTTTTTTTTACCATTTTCAAATTTTATCGTAAAAAATGGAGTCCTAAAAATTTGATAATTTGCTTAGGCACAAACTGTAGTATTAATATACAGTCATATATATTTTATTTATTTATTTATTTTGAGACAGAGTTTTACTCTGTCTCCAGGCTGTAATGCAGTGGTGTGATCTCAGCTCACTGCAACCTCTCTGCCTCCTGGGTTCAAGCGATTCTCCTGCCTCAGCCTCCTGAGTAGCTGGGATTACAGGTGCACACCATCATGCCTGACTAATTTTTGTATTTTTAGTAAAGATGGGGTTTCACTATGTTGGCCAGGCTGGTCTCAAACTCCTGACCTCAAGTGATCCACCCACCTCGGCCTCCCAAAGTGCTGGGATTACAGGCATGAGCCACTGCCTCTGGCCAATATTTTATATCTATCTATCTATCTAGTCAATACTCAGTCATCAATCAGCATTTACTATGAATTTTTCAGAAAAATATATTTTTTTCAGCTACTACAGAACCCAGATAAATTCTAGCTCTCAAGGAATGGCCTTATAAAGTATAAACAATAAACAGTATTTTCTCCAGAAGTTAGTGAATGTCAGAGCCTTTTTTGCATTATCTCATTTTAATCTTTACAAGAATTATTTGATGTCGACCCGACGTTGACTGTTTCTAGAAGAAACTGATGTTGAAGGCGTGGGTGTGGCTTCCCTGTGATCTCCAGGCTGGGAACAGGCAGGAAGATTCGACCCAGATCCCTAGAGCCCTGGGTCAGCCCTTCCTGGAAAGGGAGAGGGAGTGGATGGAGAATTACTCCAGGGAGAGGCCAGGCACTGTTTTGTTTGCACTGCCACGGTTTACGTTTTCACACCACAATCAGAAATACTGTAGCACAATTTAGGGGTAAAATACAAAGAGCCTGGTTTTGTAGTGTTTTGAATCTTACATCTGCTGTATATTCTCTTTACTGTTAACACCAAAAGGAAAGAGCTGCTGTGAATCTATTACCTGTAACCGGTCCTTGTCTCCTCTAAGCCTGTTCCTCCTCAACGCATGAGAACGTTACAATGAGTTCATGCATCAACTATAGTGTCTGGTGTATTTTATTTGGTTCTAGATTCAAGGGGCACCCAACCACTTCTCGTGGTAAGTTTGGTGAGGACGTCTGTGTGCATGAAGCTCTGAGCAATACTACAAGTGTCTCCCAATTTTATCATTTCTGCTATGACGGAGATGCATACTATAGCCAAAACTCAGAAAAGAGATAAAAAGGGCAAACTCTTATGGTCAGAGAACTCAAAAGGCACATTTTCCATGCAATTATTTTTGTAACAGCAGAATAAACCCATTTATCTAATAGAGTTATAGTAATAAATAGTATATTCAATTTTTCGTAGGGATGATGGAAATGTCATCTACATAAAGCCAGACCGAAAAAGCTGTTTTCAAACAGACCCTCAGGGCAGAATCCATGGTTCAGGTGAGTCCTCCCTTCCTTCTCTTCTTCTGGCTGGCAAGCCATGCCTTCTCTTTGTGGCCTCAGTGGGTCCCTGAGCGCCTCGTTCCTTCAGCCTGGGGTTTACAGGGAACCCCTGAGGGTTTGCTGGTCACTGATGCAATCAGGTTCTTGTGATTCCACGCAGCTCTTACTGTGACAATGTCACCTTCCCGTCTCTCAGAGGCATTGCCCAGGGAGCGAGGTGGGCCTGGAGACCACTGGTGCCCTTCTTTCCTTGCCAATCTCTGATTCTGGATTGAATGGGTATGAATGGTCTCCTCTGAGAAGCCTGGATTTAGGATTCAGTAAAAAGTCCAGGGTGACCATTTCCTACTGCACTTGCACTTATAATTCTACTTGTAACTTATTTTTAATATATGTAGTTTCTATTGGGATAAGGAAAATGCACTTACTTATTCAAGTCCTAGTAAGTTGCTTTTTATAACTATTTTCTTAAAAAGTAAGTACCCAACCTACAGCTACTATTGCCTGAGGAGGCAAAACATTTTGGATATATAAAGAGGGCCCTTACCTTTGAAAAGAAATGAAATTTCTGCTTTAGATGTCTCAATAACAGGAAGAGTGATGCAAAAGGGCTTCAACGTATATTGGCTTAGAATATGAATTTATGGACAACTTAGAGAACGTTAAGAGGACTAGCAGCCCATTATCTGGCAAATGAATGTCTAAAGTCAATGATTGGAATGAAATAAAATATTGATTTTCATGACAAAATGTCCATAGAACAATCAGTTTGGGTGAACAGCTGCACAGTTCTGGAATTTAAACATTCAAACAGTCTAGTGATCACGATGTTTACCAATCAATTTGTTAGTGATTTAGTTTAAAGGATGGCATTTACAATATGTATATTTCTTTCACGTGAAAATTACACGCAATTCAAGATCATTCCCGTTGGTGATTCCTGGGCTGGGTTTCAGGTTCTCCATGTCTCTTCCCCCGCTCCTTCCTTTCCTGTTGCCCAAGTTTGGGCATGCAGCTGGTGTCCCAGCACCTTTCTGGGGGCCTACAGTCTTCACCCTATGGCACTAGTTCTCGAAGTTCTCCTCACATGGGGCTTAGAAGTGCAAAGTCAAGCCCCAGCCCAGACTCTCTGAGCTGGAAACCTGAGCGGGGGGGAGCATCCTGGCTGTGCCTGGCAAGCTCCCAGGTAACCCTGGACACACCTGGTGAGGAGTGTGAAAGAATGCTCTCTACGCAAGCAGGTGAGAGCCCTGCTTCACAGCCCAAGGAAGGGACGTGGGAAAGGTTTAGGGCCTGCAAGAGACAATATGCCTTTCAGACAGAGGCTGATTGGCAAAACATGCAATGAGATGAATCCATCAAGCCTGTGTCCATCCCAAGTCCGAAGGAGACCACGAGAGAGCCAGCTAGAGTCCCACAGGTGGTCAAGAGGGAAGAAAAGGTGCAGGGAAGGGATGATTTCTTTCTGGCCGGAAGTTCTTTCTCTAAGCAAGCAGGTTTAGCGGTAGTAGAAGGGACTCTATGGGAGTGTGGGTTGGGGCACTTGGAGAGCTGACAGGCTCCTGCACAGACTGAACAGGAGACACACTGGGCTGGTACCTGCTTCCTGCACGGGGAACAGAAGCCATTGAAGCCAGGGCCCATTGAGTCAACAACAAGTGTGTGTCAGGCAAACTAAACCTGAGGTTCACATTACCCCAGTGAAACGGCCTGTGCTGTTGTGCCATTTTGTACTGATTTTGTCCATCCATGACAGAATGTGGGGCAAATAGACCAGTAATTCAGGCAAAGAATGAAGAATTCCACCATCTACTTAAACTGCCAAAAGGAGTGAGGATTTTTAACAACAACAAAAACAAAGCAAAAAATATAATGTCTAATCTGGACAGGTAACAATATACACGTTTTGAAATGTCTATAATTCAACAACAAATATGAAATGTAATCCATTTCAGTTAGGCCTTTTAACTTTGATAAATAAAATGAAACTTTGAATTTTCTTCTCGCAAGTGGCTGATCCCTAACTCTGGTGGGCAGAAGTTGGGCTTCCCCTGGCCGAGGTCTCCGAGGGCTGAGCTGCCCCTCTTCCTCCATTCATGAACGATTCACCACGTCCATCAGAGGCTAGAGAGGACCCGGTTCTCTGTCACTTGTTAGTAATGCTAGGCCATTTAGGCTGGGACAGAGGTCTGAAGGACCCTGAAACTCTGGAGTCACAGAAATATAGTCCACGCTCTGTGTCCCAAGACCTAACCTCGGCTCTGAAGTTTCTCATCACCTAATGCTGTGATCTGCAGCTGAGACACACGTTTGAGCCACAGGCTGCTGTCCTGCTTGAGAAATGATGATGACCACATCCCAGACACCAGGCACCAGCTACCGAAGCCCTATTCACCTGCAGACATGGAGGGACGCCCTGACCCAGGAGCTCTGCATCAGTGCCATTCACTCCTCCAGTAAAGTACGAGAGCTCGTTGATGCTGACACGATGGGAACCCTAGGGACCCTGCCCGCAGCGACATGCATAGAATCATGACTCCAGGCAGGGGACGTCACACGGCTGACTTCTGACTCCAGGAGGCATCCGCCCAGTGCCTCTGGACCTGCCTGGGGCTCCAGCCATCACCCACACTGGACATGACGCGGCTGACCTCTGTGGGCTTAGGGCATGGTCCTCCAGGCCTCGCATGAACTTTAAGTGGAAAAGTGGCTTCTAATAGGTAAGTAGTGGTTGTTTTTAACATGGCTCCCAGCTTGATAATTTCAGAGACTGCTGTCTACCCATCACACCCCACACAACAGTGTGCAAGGGCAATGCAATATAGCCCTGTCCCATGGGGGGCCAAGACCACAGCATCCACTGGAAACTGACGTAGGTTTCAGGGGGATTCTGAAAGAAGGGTAAAACACAACTTCTGGCATCATCTATTTATCATCTTGTTCATGAAACAAGATCCATGCAAATGGAAAGTGATTTGACATAGTATAAAAGTCTGTGCCAACGTCTGGAGCGGGGTTTGGAAAGTCCATAAGATATTAAAGGAGGAAAAGGTATTTTGAGATGACCTTTTGCATTTGCCTCACAGTTTATTTCCTGGATTTATGCTCACCGGGTCCCTCAGTCCCAGAGGTCATGGAGACGCAGCGTGCCTGTGCTGCTGCTGAGATGTTTGTCCAAGAGAATTTAAATCGTCACCAGCGGCAGGAAATAGTGAGTGTGCAGTGCATGAAAGAACTCTACCACTCTATCTTCGGGGACCATTGACAGACGGGAGGAAGGAAGGGGATGAGAGGAGGGAAGGAAGGAAAAAAGGAAGAAAAGGGGAAAAGAAGGGAGAAAGAGAAGGAAGGAGAATGGAGGAAGGAAAGTGGGAAGGAAGAGAAAGAAAGACAGAAGGAGGGAAGGAGAGAGGAAGGAAAAAAGGAATGAGGAAGGAAGAAAGGAAGAAAAAAGAGAAATGAAGGGAGGGAGGGAAGGAGGGAGGACGAGAAGGAAGAAAAAATGGAAGGAGGAGGAAAAAGTAAGAAAGAAAAAGGAAGGAAGGAAAGAAAAAAGTAAGAAAGAAAGAGAAGAAAGAAGGAAGGAAGGAAAGAAAGAGAAAGAGAAAGAAAGAAAGAAAGAAAGAAAAGCAAGGGAGGGAGGAGGAAGGAAGGAGAGAAGGAAGTCTGGGAGGGAGGGGAGATGGGGGTAGGGACAGCATTTCCCTCCGCATTGCCGGCCCTCTGTCTTGAGCCCCTGCAGGGTGCCGGATGGCCATGCCCTATTGTGCGTCCCTCTTGCAGCAACACCACATTAAACCGTGGCATCCTCTTGAGGCTGCCCCTGCGGATTGCACGGCTAATGCAGAAGGCTAGAAAGAAGGACCCGAAACGCCCACCAAACTATAAATTAAGGCGAAGATCTCAGGAGCAATGTGCCTGGTGCCCGGCGTCGCTGGCCTTTGGTCCCCTTTCAGGGAGCCTGACCCTGCTCCCAGAGACGCTTTTCGGATTCGCTCAGCTCACAGGCGGGATGGGAATGTGCCGCAGGGCTGCTGCCTCACACGTCCGGGTTTAATAGACTTTTTTCCACTGATAAAAGACCACTAATGAGTTCATTTTCAAGCTATTAAACGGGCTATAATAGCTAGTTCTCCTGATGATTGCACAGAGACCCGCTGGTCACAGCGGGTTTGTCTCCCTGATTAACTCTTTGCTGCCCTGGTGCCAGGAGGCTGCGTGCCTGGGAAGGCGGCACCCCCACCTGCCAGCCCTGTCTGCCCCTGTCTCCTGCTTTCAGGTTCTCAGGGCCAAGAAGCCTCCTGGCCCGAGGACCCACAAATCTGCTCTCCTGCATGCATCCAACAGCTGCCATCTCTTCCCTTATGAGAAACCTTCGGTCCTAAGCCAGGGCATCAGCTGACTGGTTGCACAGAGGGTGTTTCAATATTCACATTTCACATGAGGGACTGCGTGCTCTCTTAACTGTGTGTCTGTAATCCTGAAAGAACACCCTAGGAAGACGCTTCCCTTGGGGACACTCTTTTATCAACACAGGGAGCACATGGGCGGGGCTTTAACCCACACACTGGGCTCTACTGGGCCCGGGTGAGCTGTGTGGCTGCAAAGAGTGTGTCGCCCTGTGTCTGTGGTCATGACCACGCGTAGCGTTAGCAAATCACCTCTCCAGGTGTCTGGTTTAAACACCCTTCTCCAGCATCGGAGGGCAGGTGATGAATAGCAGGGCGCTGACAGTCCCCGTCTGCCCTCTTCATTAGGATTGCAGCAGGCCGACTTCAGATGCTTCTGCTTAGCATAATTTTGTTTTCAGCTATTTAAGCAAAGGTGCCCAGAGACCTTCAAGCTTGGGCAGCCACCAGCTGAATTGGATTGCTGCATTTTTTTTTTTATTATTACTGCCTGTTTTCCTTTTTAAGATTGTTTTATTATGAGAGGCCCAATAGGTCAGAGATGTTAAATTGCACAGTGATAAATGCTCCTAGGCCCCCTCCAGCCTGTTCTCAGGATCCTTCCAGAATCACCGTGGGCTCCCTGCCTCCCTGCAGCCCCAGGGCCCCTACACGGGCAGTTCTGCTGCTCGCCTCCAGCCTCTGCACAAGGTGCTGGCTGGGAACCCAGGTGCAGTCTCAACGATACGATATGTCCACAGGCCCCTTTCTCCTAGCCCAGACCCCAAGTTAAGGGCCAGAAACAGGCTTTGCTCCCCTCTGTCCCCACACTCAGTGATGAACATTGCATCTATGTCTTTGCAAAGACAGAAAAAGGGATAATTTTCAGTAACTAGCACTACTTTTCTGGGTAAAACAAGTGGACAGAAAGAAAAGCACTAGGCACTGGGGCCTGTAAACCTGAGTCATTGATGTGGGGTCGGGACAGGTGCCTGCCGGGGTCCTCATCCAGCACCAGCTGCTGAGCCGGGAATAAGGGGCTTCCTCGTCAGAGCCCTCGTCTAGGGACTTGCTGGGCCACAGATGCCTCTCCATCCGGGGTCTTTTAGTTTGTGTCCCGGCATTTCACAAGGTCATAAGGCCAAGCAAGAATGCTTTAAGCAGGACTGTTCATGGAGATGGGCAGGCGCACACACACACACACACACACATGCACAGACACACATGTGCACAGGCACATGCACACATACAGACACATACAGACACAGACATGCACACACAAAGACTCGCAGACACACCCATACATACACATACAAACACACATAGACATGTAAATGCACACACACAGACTCACACACACACATGAGGTGGGGGCTTTAACTCATGAATTTTGGGGACCTATTCAGCCCATAAAATGTCCACCAAATTGTACATTAGTGGTAGGAAATACATATGGTCCATACGACGACATCAACGTTACAAGCCTTTACTTTCCAGTCACTGGTGCCGCGTGTCTGCAAGTAGTCCTAAACCTCCCCAAACATACAAAGGGCAAGGGAGGGGGAGGAAACCTTCCCCGTGGACCCGGCTTTCCCCAGAAAGGCTGAGGAGTGTCACAGGCTGAGGGCTGGGGGCTCTCTCAGGCCCGTTTTGGAGGCGCGGAGTGAATGCATCTTCCAGCGGCCGATCTTTCTTCTTCTCCTGGACCTTCAGTGTGCCCAAGGCCCATAAATCAGCGTGTGCTGCTGAAATCTGTAATACTCAGTTCCTCTCTCAACTTACTCTCAGAACAAATAATTTAAGACACTAAGACAGTGGCAGTATATCTGATCCAAGGGGGAAATTCACTCTCATTTCGTTGGAAAGCAGCTGCCTGGATGAAATTCTCTCTCCAATAATTGATTTTCTCCCTCTTGCTGCTTCACTCGCTGGAGCTCCCCATTCCCCAAATGCTGGGGAGGTGGGGGGTCTCGTGGGATGAGAACTCGGCTCTCCCCCTCCACTCACATCCTTAATGCATCTTGGCCTCTTCCTCCCTCCTTGGGAACAGGGCACGGTGCCCCCATTGATGTTCCTAATACGGGAACATGACACATACATTAGGCTGAAGGAAAGGAGGAAAAAACATTTTTGCCTTGTTGTAATTTCAGCCCAGAAGTAGCGGATTCATTTCACACGACCTTAGCTCAAGGTGACTTGATATATCGTCCCAGCGATGAGATTTTTTTTGTGTCTCTCTTATCCACCCATCTCCTTCTGAAGGAAACTCTTGCAGCAGTGAAAAAAGATGGACAGACAGAGCCCTGGGCAACCCTGGACCATGCACCCCAGATGCGTGGTGCCTGGGGGTGCAGCTGGGGCCTCTTCCCGCCCCCACCTGCCCTTGTCTGTTTCTTTCTGTTTCACCCCGTGTGAGCAAGGAGACCGGTCTTCAGAATCACAAGGAATTAGGCAGAACTCATCTCCCAGCGCTGGGGGGCACGATGAGGTGGGTTCGGGCCGACCAGGGAGATTGGAGGGGATCTTTCCAGCTGGCAGGTCCTGTGACTCGGTTCCTCCCCAGGGCTGAGCCGAGGGGGCCGCCTCTCCCACAGCTCATCAGCCATTAAGAGAAATTCAGAAGAGGCTGGGGTCCTCGTCTTTTTCTGAGTTGTGAGGAGGGGCCGCGTCCTTGTGCTTCTGCACCAAGCACGAATCTGCCCTGCAGGAGGGAATGGGCGTGTTCCTCAAATAGAACACGGGAAGCCAGGAGGAAAGAGCAGAGCGGCCATGGCCGCCCTCCCCAGCCAGGACCCGAGGCCTGAGCTCCAGAGGGAGGGGCTGGACATAAGGAGGCGGTCACAACGCCGGTGGGTCAAGCCTATTAGAAAGCAGCAGGTGGTCATGAAATGTTGTTGAAACAGAGGCTAAGACAGGGCTAGCAATTGTTCTGTAGATAGTACACATTCCTAATATTACTCATCTTCCCAACTCTGAGGCAGCCTCTATTATTGTCCTTGTTTATAGGTGAGAAAATTAGGGTTGAAAGTCATTAAATAACGTGTCCAAATCACCTGCCAGTGATAGAGCCAATATCGCAGCCCTGTGTGTTGCCTGAGGCTCTTCTCTTGAACCAGAGGTCAGCAAACTATGGCCCTTGAGCTGGATCCAGCCAGCAGCCTGCATATCTTGTTATTTATTTGTTTATTTGGCATCCATGAGGTAACAATGGTTTTTATTTATAAGGGCTACGTTGTATAAGCAGGTACATAATATCCTCGTTTTGCCTCTTGCTCTGCAAAACCTAAGCTACTCACTATCTGATCTTGAGGATAAGTGTGCAGAGCCCTATCTTAAACTATTGGGTTGTAGTGATTAGTAGCTGAAATAAATGTTATTTTAAATTATAGTGTCTGAAGTTTTGATGAAAGCTGTTGATAATGGGTTGTGAACAAGTTAACACTTCCGTTTACTTCTAGAGTTACAGCCCACATGAATTGAATGACTTCTAGTGGGCGTAACAGAGCTTCAGAATTGTAAAGGCTCTGATGGACAGCTCCCCGGCATCTGTCTGACAGAGATAAAAGTAAACTTTACTGTTACCCTAACGTCTCCAGAGTAAGATCTGTGGAAGGAGAAATGTACAAAGAAAGGCGTTTACTTACAGGAAGCAACATGGTTCTCAGAATGCCTTTGGGGCAAAACAAGCATTAGCCATGCCTGAAATGTGTGTCTTGTGTGGTCAGTTGAATGTCTTCAAACCCATTCCATGAAAAGATTTTTTTTAAGCAAAAATATAAATATCATGATTCTTCAATGGCATGTCTTTATAATTTTTCCTACTACTTCTTGTCGTTACCATTTCAAGGACAACATCCATGAGACATTCTTCAGTCCTCAGGATTACCTGTGATTTCAAAGCGAATTTGAAAATCCACCCCAGCAGCAGGGTGGGGTAACTGTGCAGAGTTTCCAGCAACTCATGCAGCCACCCAAAACAAAAGGAGTATACAGCAGATGCTCATTTTCGTGAATGCAGAGCTGAGTAAACTATTAGCACGTCAGTGTATCCAGGTTTACATGCTGTAATCGTGTTCACCCATGAGCTGGGATTTTCCTGGAAGTTATCTTTTGGTAGAGTCTTCAAAGGTGGAGTTGAATAGACATGTTTCTTATTAGCTGGTTTCTGCTACTTTATGATTAGAACACGATGCCTTTATGTACAAAGCTAATAATGGAGATAAGGCTGGATGGTGAGCCGAAAGCCCGCAGCTCTGCACCTGAGAGCAGCAAGCCAGTGGTTAAATGTGCGCGGGAAGCACGGGGAAATTCAAGGAGTTTATTTCTCCAGGCTTTCCAATTTGATTACTATAGAGTACAAAGCTATTAAAAATATGACCTTTGTATTTTTTATACCTTGGCAAAAAGCCAGATAATAACTTTGTTTGACTTGGTTAGTGTGATAGAGTGCTTATTCAGATGGAAATAAAATGACTTTTCTTTACTGGAAATTATACCTTGAAGTCTAAATGTCCATCACTGATACAACACACAGACAGCCTGAAAACCACCGAGGCTGTTAAAGAGAAGAATGCAGCATTTCCATTTTCTCAAAGGAAAAATTTATATTTTTGTACAGATGTCATCAACTTAACATGGTAAAAGGTAAATCTATTGTTTCAATACAAAAGTTAAAAAAATTGATTACATTAACAGAACATCAATGTTTATTACAGCTTTAAAAAGCAAAATAGATACTGTTCTCTCCTTAAAACATTGTTTTCTCATTGGAACTTTTAAACTAGGCAAAGCAAAAACATTTGGCTACATCAGCCTGGGTTTTAATTTGAATTTTAAAGAATACAGAAAAAGCAATGATTTTATTTATCTAAATTAAGGATCAATTTCTGAAAGTTCACCAAACATGGGAGATGTTGCTCTCAGGGTTTATAACGAGTGAAATAAAAAGCAGATTTTGTTGATGAGTTCCCATCCCATACAGAAAAATAGGTTCCCTCAATGAGTATTAGCAGAGAGAGGGTGTGTCTGTTTCAGGACTTAGTAAGAATTTTAGAAAAAAATGCCCTTTTTGGCTGGGCATGGTGGCTTACGCCTGTCATCCCAGCACTTTGGGAGGCCGAGGCGGGCGGATCACGAGTTCAGGAGATTGAGACCATCCTGGCTAACACGGTGAAACCCCGTCTCTACTAAAGATACAAAAAATTAGCCGGGTGTGGTGGCGGGCACCTGTAGTCCCAGCTACTCGGGAGGCTGAGGCAGGAGAATGGCGTGAACCTGGGAGGCGGAGCTTGCAGTGAGCTGAGATCGCGCCAGTGCACTCCAGTATGGGTGACAGAGCGAGACTCTGACTCAAAAAAAAATAATAAAATGCCCTTTTTGTTTTGGGTTTAGGAACATAAACTGGTCTCAGGGGTTTATGGCTCTTTCTTCTCATTGTTGGGGAGGAGCTCATGGGCCCTGGGTACACCTCGGTCTACTGAGAAGTGTATGTGTTGGATTGGTAAAAAACAGCAAACAAAGTTACTTCTGTCTGAGGCCTGAAGTTTTAAATTTTTATTTTTTTGCTATTAGAAAATAATGACAAAAATTACAATAGTGAGAACAGGGTATGAAGGAAAGTTCTAGAATGGTCAGCAGGTGCACTGCTTAGTGGTCTGTCTGCCTCCAGGTTCACTCTCCACTGCCTGCCCCACCTTGGAGCCAATGCCATGGCCTTGCCTTCCCGCCCTGCCATGCTGTGCTCACAGCAGCCTTCCAGATTGAAGTGTGCCTGCCCCTCCCCAGAGAAGCTGGGCATCCCCTCCAGCCCATGCTGGGGAGGCAGCACAGCCCTGGATGTGGCCCAGGACTCACTGCCATCGCCAGTTACCCACCACCCAGAGGCCCAGGATGCGCGGTATGGTGGATGTGTCAGGGTGCACAGCTGTCCGGGTGGGGCATTGTCCACCCGGGAGAGTGTGTCTTACACCAAGTCCGATGCATGCCATTTCCCTCAGTCAGAAGGCACAGAACGCACAGACTCGAATGGGAATTGGGCTCTCCCACTGACAACCTCACTGGAAGGATGTGTTTCTTCCACCCCCAGGACTTGGGTATGCTGGATTTGGAGATGTAGTGAGCAAAGGAGGTTTTCCTCTACTGGAGAAGATGGCCATGCTTCTGTAAGAAGGAGGCTGAGGCTGTTCCCAGGACACTTTCACCTCTCCAGTGTTGACACCACTTGGCAGGGCAGGGACTGTTGTCCTGAATACCACAGTCCCTCCCTTCGGAAAGTGGGTGCTCCTACCCAGTGGGGCAGCAACACTGTGTTGTAAACACGCCGAATTCACCAGCCTATGATGTTCATTGCATTTGTCAATGGGAAACTGTGACCCCTAAATAAGGAGAAAGCCACTGAAAATTGGATTCTACTAGAAGGCAGATTCAGATCACCCCACCTGTCAAACCAGCAGAGGAGATGGCAAAGTGGATCATCCATTTTACAATGCTGGTGGCAGGGGGAGGCTGGAATTCTATATTTAGGCTTTGTGCCCTCCTTCAGAAGTGAGGAATATGGCAGCTGTGTTTTATGTTGACTAATTATACTTTTTCTCCCATTTTTCTTGCCACCACATAGGAAGGGCATTGATGGTGGCTTGCATTTCTATAGAGGGTCCCAGTGGGAGTGTAACTGGATTGAAATCATCATTCAAAACTACTGCTGCTAGAACTTTGTATTTCTCTTCTGTTGGGAACTTGAATGTTTCATCGAGAAAAAAAAGAAAAACGAGGATCAGAACCAGCAAGTAGTGCTAGATGTCTGTGTGCCCCTCCAGACACACTCTACCCTGAGCTGCTGAGCTCTGCATCCTGGGAACTGGCCTCAGAGGGTTGCATTCTGTCGCTAGATGTTTGTGTGCCCGTCCAGACACACTCCACACCACCCTGCTGAGCTCTGCATCCTGGGAACTGGCCTCAGAGGGTTGCATTCTGTCGCTAGATGTTTGTGTGCCCGTCCAGACACACTCCGCACCACCCTGCTGTGCTCTGCATCCTGGGAACTGGCCTCAGAGGGTTGCATTCTGTCGCTAGATGTTTGTGTGCCCGTCCAGACACACTCCGCACCACCCTGCTGAGCTCTGCATCCTGGGAACTGGCCTCAGAGGGCTGCATTCTGTTGCTAGATGTTTGTGTGCCCGTCCAGACACACTCCACACTGCCCTGCTGAGCTCTGCATCCTGGGAACTGGCCTCAGAGGGCTGCATTCTGTTGCTAGATGTTTGTGTGCCTCTCCAGACACACTCCACACCGCCCTGCTGTGCTCTGCATCCTGGGAACTGGCCTCAGACGGTTGCATTCTGTTGCTAGATGTTTGTGTGCCCGTCCAGACACACTCCGCACCACCCTGCTGTGCTCTGCATCCTGGGAACTGACCTCAGAGGGTTACATTCTGTCGCTAGATGTTTGTGTGCCCGTCCAGACACACTCCACACCGCCCTGCTGTGCTCTGCCTCCTGGGAACTGACCTCAGAGGGTTACATTCTGTCGCTAGATGTTTGTGTGCCCGTCCTGCCCGTCCAGACACACTCTGCACTGCCCTGCTGAGCTCTGCATCCTGGGAACTGGCCTCAGAGGGCTGCATTCTGTTGCTAGATGTTTGTGTGCCCGTCCAGACACACTCCACACCGCCCTGCTGTGCTCTGCATCCTGGGAACTGGCCTCAGAGGGCTGCATTCTGTTGCTAGATGTTTGTGTGCCCGTCCAGACACACTCCACACCGCCCTGCTGAGCTCTGCATCCTGGGAACCGGCCTCAGAGGGCTGCATTCTGTCGCTAGATGTTTGTGTGCCCGTCCAGACACACTCCGCACCACCCTGCTGAGCTCTGCCTCATGGGAACTGACCTCAGAGGGTTGCATTCTGTCGCTAGATGTTTGTGTGCCCGTCCAGACACACTCCACACCGCCCTGCTGTGCTCTGCCTCCTGGGAACTGACCTCAGAGGGTTACATTCTGTCGCTAGATGTTTGTGTGCCTCTCCAGACACACTCTGCACTGCCCTGCTGAGCTCTGCATCCTGGGAACTGGCGTCAGAGGGCTGCATTCTGTTGCTAGATGTTTGTGTGCCCGTCCAGACACACTCCACACCGCCCTGCTGTGCTCTGCATCCTGGGAACTGGCCTCAGAGGGTTGCATTCTGTCGCTAGATGTTTGTTTGCCTGTGCAGACACACTCCACACCACCCTGCTGAGCTCTGCATCCTGGGAACTGGCCTCAGAGGGTTTTGCATTCTGTTGGTTTCAGTGATAGGGAGGGAGGCTCAAGGGTTAGTTTTCCTTCCAGTCTGTTTGACAGTTGCTGTGTTTCTCTTAAGCTCAAAACTTTTGTTGGACGGCTCTTCCCCTCCAACTACAGATTTCCCTGAGTTCAGTGAATTGCTGTCCACTTTTTTCCCCTAAGGCTGCATCTCCCCGGGAGCTTCATCATGCCCTTTAGTTTCTGTGACATTCTCTGCACCTTTAAGACGACTTCCTTTATTAAATTTCTTACTTAACCCTCTGAGTGTGCCATCTGCTGCCTGCCCAAACAGGTGTACCTAAGTTCCAGCCTTTACTCTAACAGAATGCCTTTAGGTGAGTCACAGAATTGCTCTGTAAATTAGAAGAGCAGGCTTGTTTATGAACTTTTCTTATTTAAGATCCTATAAGTCCAGCTTTACTTTAAAAAATCCACCACCATGACTATAACCTCTTTACTGCCATTCAACAACCCCAAATTATAACTGTTTAGTGGATATTGTAAAAGTATGTATAGCTTATCACCTTTTTAATAAGTCCAATAATGCTTCAAACTTAAGATGAATGAGAAGATTCTACCAACCCTGAAAATTCACATACCTATAGAAAATTCTGATTATTCAACCATAAGACACTTCATAATAATTTGCAAAAGTAATTTTTACTTTCAACAAGTCATTTTTTTTGTTCAAGTACAGTGTCACTAGGTTTAAAAATCAGATTTTTTTTTGAGAGAGGGTCTTGCACTTCACATATGCTGGAGTGCAGTGGCCCAATATTGGCTGACTGCAACCTCCATCCCTGGGGCTCAGGTGATGCTCCCCTCTCAGGCTCCCAAAAGTCAGATCTTAAGTGGTGCCACCTAGCAAGTTTGAGGTAGTTAAAAATCTGTGACGTGGTAATCGACAGTTTCTCAATGAATTAAATACAAATAAAAGAGTATTGTTTTGTTGGAGAGATCATTGTGGCAGGCTCAACAACAAAAACATTAAAGCCACTAAAAACAAATCACAGGCGAGATTTCCAGCAATGGCCATTTGAAGAGAAAATTAAACCCTCTCCTCCAAAAGCAACTATACAGCTGAAACCCCTGCCCCCTGCAGCTTGTAGAAGTTCTGTCAGATTAAGGCAGGCTGCGAAGGAACTGTAGCTTCTTGGCTGCAATTAATGGATCACCTGGCTTGGAGGAATGAATGGTGTAAAATAATCAACAGAGGAGTTAAAGTGATACACTCAGTTATTCAGGAAGAGATTGAGAAGGCGAGAGACATGTGGAAAATAAATTGCAAAATGGTAAATGTAAATCCAGCCATATCATTAGTTGCATTAAATATGAATGGTCTAAACACCCAAATAAAAAGAGCAGAGATCATCAGATTAGATAAATAAGTAAGATTTAGCTACATGCTGTCTACAAGATACATTTTAGAATCAAAGACACAAATACATTGAAAGTAAAAAAAAAAAAAAAAAAAGAAAAAATACGCACCATACAATGACTCTAAAAAAACTACATTTGCTGTATTATTTATTGATAGAACAATTAGGTGGAAAATTAAATGACAGTATTAATCAACTCAATCTATTTAACAAAAATAAGCACTTCATGTAATAACTGCAGAACATGTATTTTTGTTTTTTCAGAGTCTCGCTCTGTCACCAGGCTGGAGTGCAGTGGTGCGATCTTGGCTCACTGCAACCTCCACCTCCCAGGTTCAAGCAATTCTCCTGTCTCAGCCTCCCAAGTAGCTGGGATTACAGGGGTATGCCACCATGCCCAGCTAATTTTTATATTTTTAGTAGAGATGGGGTTTCACCATGTTGGCCAGGAGGGTCTCAATATCTTGACCTAGAGATCTGCCCATATTGGCCTCCCAAAGTGCTGGGATTACAGGCATGAGCCACCATTCCCTGCCCACATATTGTTTTTAAGGACAAGAAACATTTTACGAATAGATAATATGCTAGATTAGAAAAAAAATCAATACATTTAATAGAACTGGCATCATATAATGATGTTTTTGACCACAATGAAAGTAAATCAGAATTGAACAACAGAAAGAAATCTGGAAAATCTGCAAATATTTAGAAATTAAACAATATACTTCTAAATAACCCATGGATCAATAAAGGAAAAACAAGAAAAATAAGAAAAAAATTTAACTGCACTAAAACAAAATTATATTAAAATTTATGGGGTGCAACTAAGACAGTAGAGGGAAATTTATAGCTTTAAACACCTATATCAGAAAGAAAGGAAGATCTCAAATCAATATTCTAAGCTTCCATGTGAATATAGTAGAAAAATAAGAGCAAACTAAAATCAAAGTAAGACATAATAAAGATTAGAGCAAAAATCCATGAAATAGAAAACCAAAAAAATCAACAAATTGACATATTTAGATTGACCGACCAGTAATAAAAGACAGAAGACACAAATTATGAAAATTAGAAATGAAAGAAGAAACATTATCACCAATCTACAAAAATTAAAGGGGTCATAAGCACATGTTATGGGCAACTTTATGGCCCAAATGAGGCAACTTAGATGAGATGGGGGAAATTACTGGAAATGCGCAGATTTCCAAAAATGACTAAAGAGGAAATAAAAAAACTACAAAAATAACAATTAAGAAAATTAAACTAACAATTAGAGATCCCTTTACACAAGAAAAGGCCCAGGCCCAAATGGTGTCACTGGTGAATTTGTTAAATAAAGAAAAAATACTAACAATCTTTTACAAACTGTTCTAGAAAATGCAGAAGGGGAGACGACTCTCCATTCATTCAGTTGTTCTAATATTATATTGATAGCAAGCACAAAAATATCACAAAAAGTATAGCCCAAGATTTCTTATGAATATGGATGTGAAACTATTAACACAACATCACCTAACTGAATCAAGCACCATATGAAAAGGGTGTATGTAAAGACCAAGTTAGATTTACGCCTACAGTGAAAAGTTGGCCTAAAATGTAAAAATCACCTAGTGTAATATACTATATTAATCAAATAAAGATCAGACACCTGATTATCACAATACATGCAGAAAAAAGTATTGGAAAAATCCAGTACTCATTCATGACAAACTCCCTTAACAACTCTGAGTACAATGGAACTTCTGCAAGCTATAAAAGGGCATATATGAATCACTCATGCCCAGCTCCATCCTTAGTCATGAGTGGCTGAGTGCTTTCCTGTAGATCAGGGACAAGGGAAGGATGTCTACTTTCACACTTGAATTCAACAGTATACTGCTGGTCCTTGCAAGTATGAGAACAAAACAAACAAAATAAACAAACATGCCAATCATTCAAGGCATCCAGCATAGGAAATATTAAAATGTATTCATTTGTAGATGACATGAACATCTATGTAGAAAATCTGATAGAATCAACAAAAAATATATTAGAACTAGTAGGTATTTTAGCAAGATTGCAGGACATATGATTAGTATAAACATATCAATCGTCTTTTTATATATTACTAACAATCTGAAAAGAAAAACAAGAACATTGTTACATTTACAAGAGCCTCAAAAATAAATAACTAGGAATAGTTTCTTCTTTTTCTTTTTCTTTCTTTCTTTTTTTTTTTTTGAGACAGGGTCTCACTCTGCCACTTGGGCTGGAGAGCAGTGGCATGATCACAGCTCACTGCAGCCTCGGCCTCCCAGGCTCGAGTGGTTCTCCTGCCTCAGCCTCTGGAATTGCTGGGACAGCAGGCACATGCCACCACATCCAGCTAGTTTTTGTATTACTTGTAGAGATGAGTTTTCACTGTGTTAGGAACACACTTAACAGCAACAACAACAACAGTGAAATGCAAGACTTGTGTACTGAAAACTACAAAACATTACTGAAAGAAATCAAAGGAGACCTAAGTAAATAGGGAGAAATTCCATGTTTCTGGATTTAAAGACTCAGTAATGTCAAGATGTCAAGATAACAATTCATCCCAAATTATCCATGGATTCAATGCAATCTCTGCCAAATCTCAAATCCCAGGATTTTTTTTGTAGAGAATGTCAAGCTCCTCTTAAAATATGTATGAAAATAAAATGCAAAGGATCTAATAGTAAAAAACAATTTTGCAAAAAAATAAAGAAAGAAAAAGGTTGGAAAACTTATACTAGCTGATTTCAAAATTTACTACCAAGGTAAGGTAATCTAGATAAATTGAACAGAGTTGAGGGTTCATGAATTAATGCTTACATCCATGGGCAACTAATTCCTCCAAAGGTACTAAGAAATTTCAATGGGGAAAGGATACTCTTTTCAAGAAATGGTTCTGGTTCTACTGTATACTCACATTCAAAGAAATGAATATACACCATTACCTTACACTATACACAAAACGCACAATGAACCACAGACCTAAAGACCCTAGCTAAAATTTTAAAACTCCTAGAAGAAAACAGGAAAAAATCTTTATTAGCTTGAATTTGGCAAATAATTCTTAGACACAACATAAAAGGCACAATTCATTAAGGAAATATCAAAAAGTTGGACTTCATCAACTTTTAAAACTTTGAGCTTCAAAACACATCTTTAATGAAAAAATAAATCTTATACAGGTTGAAAATATTTGCAAGTTATATATCTGATAAAGAACTTTTATCTAGAATATATATATAAAGAATCCTACAACTCAGTAATGACAAGAATCCAGTAAAAAGGAGTAAAATTTTGAACAGTCATGCCACTAAAGAGGACATGTAGAAAACAAAAACTTAAAAAGATGTATACCGTCATTAGTAATTAGGGAAATGTAAATGAAACCACAATGAGATACAGCTATATACCCTCTAGAATAGCTCTAATTAAAAAGACAGAAAATACCAAGTGTTGGATGAACTATGAAAAGAGGCGATTCCTCATGCGTGGCTGCTCAGCATTTAGAATGCAACAGCTACTTTGGAAAATTGTTTGTTTGTTTCTTAAATAGCTAAACATATACCCGCCATATAACAGAGTACTTCAGCACCTAGGCACCCACCTCGGAGGAATGAAAACACGTCCACGCAAAGGCATGTCAGGGAATGCTCACGTGGCTTCATTCATAACAAGCAAGAGCTGATGACACCACAAACGTCCATCAACAGAGAGGGGGAGAAACAACAGGAACTCTATCCAAACCTTAGAATAGCATTCCGTAGGCCAAAGGTGCAAACTACGGACACGCGCCCCAACACAGATGAGCCTCAAAAACATTGTGCTGAGCAGGAGTTGGAAGGAAGACGTGACGTATGGCATGATTCTATTTATACAAAATCTCCAAAAGAGGAAAATATTTAGAGATGGGGCATCCATTAGTGGTTGCCCAGGGCTGGGGGTGGGATTGGATTGTTGCAAAAACATCATTAAATAAATGAAAAAATAAGCTTCCTTCTGCACACACATCCATGAAGCCCACATTCTCAAGAGGACGTGAGGCGCATCCCAGGTGGTCATGCAGCTCAACACTGTAGATGTGTGAAAATGATTGAATTGTGCACGGGCAAAGTCTATTGAATGGAAGCATGTCAGTAATGCTGCAACAAATACATGAACTGCAAACTACAGTAGTTTCTACTGTATAGCTAGAATGGCACTTACTTGATTACACTTGAGTAAGAATATAAACTGTTGTTTTGGGAAAATTTTTGTTAGAAAACTAGATTTCACACAGCCCATAGAATTTTTGTCACTACCCATAGAATTCCATTGTCAGCGCCTACACCCGCCTCTGGCCGCCTTCCCAGGCATGGTCCACCGTGAGCCGTAACTGCTTTGAACTCCTTGTCTGTCCCGTTGTACCGTCATCACCTTCTCTGTCATCAGTGCGATTGCACACGCATGGATTCCCTGCCTTATTGAAGACATTGGAGACCTCCCTCCCGCCTACAGGACCAGGGGCCTTCACCCTCAGGAATGCCCAGTACGAGGGCTGAGTTTGCAGTCAAATAGTTAATGTTCATAGAGCTTATTAGAGACCCACAGCATTTAATCCTCAAACAGCCCCTTCAGTAGGCACTATTATTATCATCATTTGTTCATGGGGCCACTGAGGCACAGCAAGATGAAATGATTTGGCCAAGGTAGCTCAGCTGGTGAAAGAGATTCAGGGTAAGAATCAAGGCTGGTGCAGTGACTCACACGTATGATCTAGCGATTTGGGAGGCTGAGGCGGATCGATCACTTAAGCCCAAGAGTTTGAGACCAGCCTGGGCAACATGGCAAAACCCCATCTCTACTAAAAACATGAAAAATTAGCCTGGCATGGTGGCACGCACCTGTGGTCCCAGCTATTTGGGAGGCTGAGGTGGGGGTATCACCTGAGCCCAGGAGGCTGAGACCCCAGTGGGCTTTGAAGGCATCACTCCACTCCTGCCTGGGTGACAGAGTGAAATCCTGTCTCGGAAAAAACAAAACAAAACAAAACAAAAACAAACAAAAACCAAAGAAAAAAAGAAAGAGAATAAGAATCCAGACTGCCTCCATTTTAAACCACTAAAGACGATTTGGGGTTCTCCTCGTATTATCTGATGCAACTCCAGGCTCCAGCGAGCATGCCGTCCTGCCTGGTCTCCTACCCGTGGCTCCGAGCACAGCCCCACAGCTGGGAGCCGAGCACGCCCTCCCACCTTGCCTCCCCACCGGCTGGGGACCATGGTGTGCACTTCCAGATGCTACTGTCATTTCCTGCGACAACAGAACACACACATCTGTGAAGTCTATAATCACAAACTGAGCGAAACTCACGAGGTTATGACAATTTCCCACCTCTGAAAATAACATTGATGGATATGTTTTTAAGAGACTGACACATGTAACTCTTTATTAAAAAAATTATTAAATAACTCCTTGAAATAAAAAGGCAGTCATGTAATTAATAGTTATGTACTACTTGACAGCATAATTACTCATTACCAATATGCAGGAACAAAATGACTTCTAATTTTATCTTCAGAGTCTTTAAAGGTAAAAAAGTACTTGAAAGGAAGTAAACTAGAAAGAGAAGATGGCTTTTGTGAGTGCTTGAGATTCTTCTTGACTTGGAATTAAAAAAAACTAAAGGTTAAATTACAGATGATGTTATGCTGCATTTACTGAAGCAGGTGAATCATGAAAACCACTTGTATATCTCAATAAAAATAAATTAAACATATATATATATGTAGAAGGCAGTCTAACACAGGTTTCTCCTACTGTTGTGTTAGCTAAAGATTTTTCTTTTAACTGTCTGGGGAAATGTGAATTTATCTGCATCTGTTCAGAATTGGCCAAACACCTCCACAAGTTGTTCAGAATTATTGACGAGTCCTGAGAGCTAAACCCCAAGAGACATTTTTCCAGCCTGTTTTCTGTGGTGCAGAAAGGAGCGTGGTGTGCGGGAGCAGAGGCTGCTCTCAGCTCATGTGCTGAGTCCAGGCCTGTGCGGAGCCTGAGGCTGAACTCGCCATCTTTACACTCCTTTAAGGGAAAATACCCCTTTTTCCAGGGAAAACTGGGAGACAGACAGTCGACGTGGGTTGCAATCCCAATGCCGGTTGCAGTGCTGAGGGCTGGCCCATCAGGGGCAGCTTACAGGGACTGAGGTTTGCACCTTGGCGCTGGTGGGGTGTTTAGTGCCCTGGATGGAAACAATGCTGGGATCCCAGTGAACAGACGGCAGGGAATGTTCCTCGGAGGGAAAAACAGGCCTCTGGAGGTGCAGGGCTTGGTTTTGGAATCTAAGCTCCACAGGTGGAGGCCACAGAACAGCTTTCTCGGGAGTCCCCACTGGCTTTGTGAAGAGCAGGGAAGGCATGGTGAGTGTCCAAGTGTCATCACATTAATACAGAATTGACACATGTCCACTGACCATCAGACAGCAGACATGCCCTGGAATGACAGCCTCCACAGATCCAGCCCGTGGGACCCAGCCCCAGGTTGCTAAGTGTCCCCAGCGAGGCCTGCCCGACCCCTCTCACCCTTCTCCTGCTGAGCTGTGGCCTTCCCATGTCCTCATCACCCAGCACAGCCATGCCTCCTGCTCCTGCCCTCTGTGTGCACCTGCCTGGCTGCCCCACTTCTCACGCCTCTGCCTGACCCTGCGCTCTCTCCTGCATGGACACAGGCCTCCAGTGGACCTCGGATGCTAACCCCACGTCTGCCCACGCTCGCTCCAGCATGGACACAGGCCTCCACTGGACCTCAGCTCCTGCATGGACACAGGCCTCCACTGGACCTCGGACACTAACCCCACATCTGCCCACGCTCTCTCTTGCATAGACACAGGCCTCCACTGGACCTCAGACACTAACCCCACGTCTGCCCATGCTCTCTCCTGCATGGACACAGGCCTCCACTGGACCTCGGACGCTAACCCCACATCTGCCCACGCTCGCTCCTGCATGGACACAGGCCTCCACTGGACCTCAGACGCTAACCCCACATCTGCCCATGCTCTCTCCTGCATGGACACAGGCCTCCACTGGACCTCGGACGCTAACCCCACGTCTGCCCATGCTCTCTCCTGCATGGACACAGGCCTCCACTGGACCTCGGATGCTAACCCCATGTCTGCCCACGCTCTCTCCTGCATGGACACAGGCCTCCACTGGATCTCGGACGCTAACCCCACGTCTGCCCACGCCTCAGGCACCTCTTGAACTCCGGGGCTTCCTCTGCTCAGCAGCCGAGGTCTTTTCCGCAGGTGCTGCCTGGCCCTCCTCCCGTGGCTGTGAACTCCCCTGCACGTGTCATGGGAGTTCCCAGGCCATCCGTGAGGCAGACTGGCTCCTCTCAAACTCCCACGACGGCCTGTCCTCAGTGATATTTCCGGGCTGCCCCCACACTCGACATGGAAGAACGTGAATGACTTGCCAGGGCCATGGGCAGAGGGAAGGTGGCTACACACGTCCCGGCTTGTCGCTCACCACCTGTTAACAGCCACGCACAAAGCAACCCGCACGGTCTGAAGTGGCCCGATTGTTACATGTTGTATTATATATAGTTTACTATATATTTAAAAAATGCAAAAACCACAGTTACTTTTGCACCAACCTAATATAAACATGTATCGGTTTCTGCTGTGGTTATGCATCTCCTGCCTTCCCTCATCAGCACCCACCCTGTGCCTTCCTCCTAAGAATCCCTCTCTGTGGGGTCCTGCTGCCCTCTCCTTGCCTGACCCACTCAGGTCCCACCTTTTCCCCGGGCCCCGGCGCACCCGCTAGCACCGCTTTCTGCCCACCCTGGCCTGGACGCCTCTCCCTCCCCACAGGCTCACACATCAGTCACCCACTCGAACTGGAGCCGGGCCCTCGGGTGAATCGTTAGCTCCTCGAGCACCGAGACTGAGACTTATACATTTTAATAACTTGGGACGTGCACAAGAAGGGGCTTGACGAGCCTCGGATTGATTTATTGATTTAGAGGTTGCTTTTCTAGCCAAGGCAACTGAAGATTAGACTCCTGATCACGGACACTTGACTCCATTCGGAGAGCAGGGCCCATCTGTGCATGCAAGATCGCCTCCCACAAAGGAGAGAAATTCTCCTCCATTCTTTCTCTTGATTGCCTTTCTATCTTAATTTTTTTTCTCTCTCTCTCATCACCTTCTTACATCTGTTGCAGGTTAAAGGGCACAGTTCAATGTCTATCAGGTGAACTTTGACTTTAAACTTAAATCTCAGTCCTTGCACAGACCCCATAATCAAAGTAGAAAACCATAAGCTGTGAAAACTTCATGTAGAAGTTTGCCCACAGCTACACAGCCATGGCCATGACATCTAACGTTCCTAGATTTCTAATGGAATTAACTTCTACTGGTTTGTCATAAGAAATGGAGATGCAGAAGCACTGGCTGTTTTACAGATTACACTAGAAAGAGACATAGGGGTTTTCTCTGGCTTTTCTCTCTCTACAGCAGCTGTCTGTACTGCTCTCTCCCAGAGTGATTTCTTTCCTTTTAATTGATCACCCATTCTCTAATATACAAAATCAAATAAAACCGAGACACAGCCTCGTAGAGATCACCTGTCTCTTTGGTCATGTTTGTCCTCAAGGTGCCAGCACTTGAAGAGGTGGAGCTGGAGGGCATCAGCCATGGAGAAGGTGTGACTCCCCCCAGCATCACCCCTCCTCCACTCACACTGCAGACAGGTCTGCCCCGTCTGAAATCAGCTTGACCCTCCATCCTGGAAAACTGCCGGCTGATGTGGGCTTTCGCCCATCCCTCTGTGACTGGCCTGAGCTCTGCCCTTGTCCACGCGTGGGTAGATCAGAGGCAGGAAAGACACATCTACCCTGGAGCACCCTGGCAGCAGGTGCCTGAGGGGCTGAGAGCAAACGGGCGGCGATGCATTGCCTGCAGCCTCCTCTGGCCTCCCTGGCATGCTTAGGGGGAAAAGTCGCTTCTGTGCACATTGTCAAGGAGCGAGGGGGCCTCATCAGTACTTTATGATAACAGCACACAACCCTGCTAGCCGTGGGTAGTGCCTGTGATTACTTGCTTTCTACCGATGTTAGGCTGCGTTACGATCGGCATTCACTGTTCAGCGCTTGCTAGGCTGTTAATTATTGTTGTGTGGCTCTAAGTGATGCTTTCAAAACATTTTAGAATTTTGTTACTGTGAAGGCACCGGGAGGAACTTAATAAGCCAAGATTCTACATGAGAATGACACAGATATTAAAACAATGAAAATAGTTTAATCACGGCCTTTTCTTCCACAGCTATGGCTGATAAAAATGTGTTTCTGACACTTGGCCGAATGTCACTAGAGACTCAGCTGTCTAGGGTCCCTGTTTCATTCTGTACAAGAAACCTCCATGGGTGTGGAAGTAAGTCAGTTTCAAGGAAAAGAATTTGAATCCTGAGCTATTTTAGCATGGATCTCTACGTTTTAAATGAAATCCTTCTTTTCAGCGAACTGGGAGAAATACAAAGACTTTCCTGGTGTGTCTTTCTCTTCTGGAAACTATGGAGAAAAATGAAACCAGTCCCGCCATTTGCTCACGGCGGCCTCCGGCCAGGCCCTGGTCCCACTTCCAGGCCAGCGAATCACGGCTGCCCAGTGTCGTGACCACTGGAGGGGCCTCCCTGGTGTCCGTTGGGTTCTGACTCAAGATCGGTCTGTGCTTCTTCCCTGTAGCTCCTGCGAGGGCTGGACAGCTGGCCGGGTTTCATTTGCCTCATGAGGGGCTTGGAGACATTGATGAGAAGACAGAGAGAGGGGAGTGCTGAGACCCTCAGTGAGGACAGGCGTGAAACTGGCTCAAGCTGTTCGCCAGGGTGTCCCCTAGCAACACAGAGTCCACGAGTAACATGTTCCTTGGAAGTTTAGGTTATTATTTTTTAATTTTGAGAGGTTTGTGGTTACTTGATTTACTCTTTCTCCTTTGTTTAGACAAGAAAACTAAGGCCCAGGGAATTGGACTCCCTGGTGAGTGATGAGCCAGGGCACAGTTTCTACCTGCCAGTTTGCAGTTGGTAAAAATCAGTTTCTGAGACAAGTGTGGGTTTACTCCTAGCCATGCTGTCCCCTGGGATTGGTGGAGACCTCCTCATCGTGATGGTCAGGACTTCACAGTGACATTCTAATTCACTTCCCCCATTACCTCCTGCTCCCATGGAGCTAAAGCCTCAGCGCTCAAGCACCCCGCCAGCGCCCAACCCCGCCCTGCGCCCAACCTCCCCACTGCGCCCAACACCACCCAGTGCCCAAGTCCCCCCAGTACTCAAACCCCCCCAGCACCCAACCCCCCCAGCACTCAAGCCCCTCAGGTCGTCACAAAGGCCGGGTGCTTCCGCTCTGGGTCTGTCCCCATTGCCTGGGCACCTGCAGATCCTGCAAGTCCAGCTCACCCCCGGCCCTTCACAAACTCCCCCAAACTGCCATCCCTGACAAGACACGTTGTCTCTCTTCACTAAACCCCTACAGCTTGTAACCTGAGACAAAATTTGCCTGTGACCCTTGTGTGGCCTCTAGGGGTTACACAACAGCCTTGCACATGCCATTCCGAGAATGGCTGCTAAGTAAAACAGCATTAACACAAAGTGACCTGGACACAAAGACAGGGAGCGAGACACAGAGAATGCGGGGGAAGGGAGCGTGAGGAGGGAGGAACCTGACAAAACCAACCCCCGTCATTCCTTCATCTACTTGCCCAACACCATCTGCCGAGCCCTTGCTCACCCCAGCAGTCACCCAGCCACACCCACTTGGCACTTCATGGCCACCTAGACAGGAGCCTCTAGCCTTGCTTGCTAGAGCTGCAGTTGATTTATGAGATAACCCAGCAATGGCACCAGGTCCTTTGGCTTTGAGTGTTTCATCTTAGAAATAGGAGATAATTATTTCTTTATACATTTAGCAAACATTCATGAAGGGTCCACTGTGGCCAGAGACCATTCTGGGTCCATGAATGGGACAGACTAGAGCTTGGCCCTCCCGACACTTATGTTCTCGTGAGGATGGGAGAAGATGACACTCGTGCAGGTAACAGGATAATTTCAGATGGTGATCAACGCAGTACAGAAGCAAGGCAGGGCATAAAGGGGTGGGGAGGGCTTCCTACCCAGCGGTGACACCCTTCCCTGGGTACCAGCCTGTTCTCAGGGAGGGGGCGGAGGAAAGTGGCTTACCCTGTGCCCTGGTTACAGTAAACTCTCTATCAGAAGCCACGAGTCATTTACATTTCAGTCTCTACCCTCGCTCAGCTCTTGGGTCTCCCATGGTGACAGTGACTCTGGGCAGGGCAGAGGGGGTGTGTGCTGGATCCAGAGGCTGAAGTTTCAGGCAGAGAAATGGCGACTCTATGAATGCCTCAGTGCATTTTTCCACATGGTGGTTTATTAAAGGTCTATGTGCATTTTAGATTTCTGGATTACAGAAATATGAAGGAACACTTTGGGAGGCCGAGGTGGGCAGATCATGAGGTCAAGAGATTGAGACCAGCCTGGTCAACATGGTGGAACCCCGTCTCTACTAAAAGTACCAAAATTAGCCAGGTGTGGTGGTGGGCGTCTGTAGTCCCAGATACTCAGGAGGCTGAGGCAGGGGAATCACTTGAACCCAGGAGATGGAGGTTGCAGTGAGCCGAGATCATGCCATTGCACTCCAGCCTGGGTGACAGAGCGAGACTCCTTCTCAAAAACAAACAAACAAACAAACAAACAAACAAACAAACAAATAAATGAAAGAAAGAAAAAAAGAAAAGAATTATGAGGGAAATACTTATTTCTCAGTAGAGCCACCACCCGCGGTGAAGTGTGGGAAGAGTGGCCTGTGAACCAGTGCCCCAACAGTGAGTTCCTAGCTTCCCTGGAACAAGAAAAAAGGGTGTGCAACACGTTCGATGTGCCAGGTGCCTCCACGTGGGGTCCCGACGCCATCCATGAACGTCCACCTCCACCCTTTCTACCCTGTCTTCCTTCTTTACTTTCTTCCTTCCTCCATTCCATTCAATGAGGCCTGTAGAGCACCCACCACTACCTGGCACCGAGACAGGCTGGACGCGGCAGGGAACAGCTCACCCAGCTTTAGCCAGCGGGGACCTGACAAAGGCTGCCTCGGGTTCCACTGTGAGGTCCCGTTCCTGGTGACTGGGCAGGCTCGGGCTCAGGGCCAGCTGGTGTCATGCCAGGGCGTATCACCTTCCCATGCCCGATGTCAGAGCGCAAAAAATATGCTTAACAGGAAACCCAAATGAACAGCAGTGCTTCCGTCACTCTTTGATGCCTGGGAAGGACTTCTACATCCAGGAAGTGCTAGGTCACCCTTTGAACGTCAGTTACAGTTGCAGTGAGGTGGCTGGCAGATGAATGGGTCTGGTGATTTGATGGTGTCTGTCTACTGGAGATCTTGGGTAAAGGACGACGCTGTGTGGGCTGCAGTGCAGGACCAAGCTTCCATTCTCCTCCTGCTGCCAGATCTAGGAAAATGTGGCTCGGTTCACAGTTAGGAAGGAAAATATGTATTTTTTAAATGGTAATTTGTAAAAACAATGTGAGAATTTTATCAGATTATTGTAGTTATTCTGGAAATGTATAGTGTCATAGAAATTCTAAACAACAACTTTTCTCTCTGTTAAAATTCTCACCTTCTTCTTCTGAAACTGCTACCCAGAGGTGTGGATAAGCGTGATCTTAGAGAGGAGCTTGCCATGCACTGCCTTAGGAGAATGTGTCCGCTCTTCACAGGGAAAAACAACATGGCAGTGGGAGGACTGAGACATTTTAATAAAATGCTGTTGATTTTCAAAGGTATACATCTTAGAAACATCCTTGTTTTTAGCTAATATTTAAGCTGTTCCTAGGGCCATAAAATAATCTAAACTGGATAAATTCATCATTATACTAAATATCTCATGAAGAAAAACAACATAGATCTTAAACATCCAACTTCATAAACACACTTGTGCAGGCATGTGCACATTACACACACATGCCACATGCATGCATACACTACACACACATATGCACACACTACACACATGCGCACACACACAGGCACACAATACTCACGTGCACACACATGCACACACAGTACACGTATACTCACACAGGCTTGCAAACACAAGCATGCACAATATGCATCTGCATACACATTATACATGGGCACACAAGTGCTTGCACACACATGCACACTACACATGTGCACACACATGCACACACACTGGATACTCACAGCACTAGCCTTGTGACCATGCACCTGCCCATGTGGCTGGGCCTATGGCGAGGCTGTGGGCTGAGTTGTGGCCCTCACCCCAGAGACAGTGTCCATGACGGTTCTCCAAGTCTGGTGAGACTAGAGGGGAAATAACTGCCCTAAAGCCCTGAGAAGTCAAGGACTGATGGCAGATCCTCACACCAGTGTCCTCCTCCCACTCACTGTGGGACTGCATGAAGTGGCATTGAATAGACAGAGACCTCACAGCCCAGCAGTCACGAAGAACCACTCCCATCTGCACACTCGTTCCAAGTTAGCGTGACATGCTGTAAAGGCTCATCTTATGTGGCAACTTGACTGGGCTTGGGGCTGCCCAGGGGGCTGGTCAACTGTTATTTCTGGGTGTATCTGGGAGGATGTTTCTGGAAGAGACCAGCATTTGAAATGGTAAACTGAGTCAAGAAGCTCTGCCCTTGTCCATGTGGGTGGGTGCATCCAGTCCACAGAGGGCCAAATGGAATGGAAGCTGGGGGCAGGGTGGATCGCCTCTGCTGGAGTGGGCCTCCCTCTCCCCAGGGCCTCAGACTCCCGTGCTCCTGCTTCCTCTCCTGCTTTTCCTGCTTCTCCTCCTGCTTCTCCTGCTTCTTCTGCCTCTGGACTCAGGCTAGGGCTACACTGTTGGCTCCCCTGGTTCTGAGCCCTTTGGGCTTGGACTGAACTATGTCACTGATTTCCTGGTTCACCAGTGCCCAAGCAGGGATTGAGGGACGTCTTAGCCTCCATGATCACATGAGCCAGTTCCCATAATAAACCTCCCCATACACAGGTTGAGTGTCCCTAATCAAAAAATCCAAAATCCGCAATGCTCCATAGTTCAAAACTTTTTCAGTGCCAACAGGAATTTCAAAGGAAATGCTCACCAGAATATTTCAGATCTTGGATTTTCAGAGTGTGGACGCTGAACTGATGAGTGTATTGAAAATATTCCAAAATCTGAAAAAACCCAAATCCCAAGTGAACATCTCAGGTAAGGGATACTCAATGAGTGAGTCTGTCTGTCTGTCTGTCTATCTATCATCTATCTATCTATCTATCTATCTATCTATCTATCTATCTATCTATCTATCTATCTATCTATCCCTCTATGTAATCTATCTATCCATCCATCTATCATACTGGTTCTGTTTCTCTGGAGAACCCTGGCTAGTGCACACACTATCTTATATTGAATAATGCTGAGTAGTTTCCAAAATATTTTCACATGAAATTTTGTCAGTTGACTCTCCGAGCTGGTGTTCAGGGGACAGGCTGTCCTGGGCTCTCCCTGAGGGTTTGAGCAGGCCCAGGGACTCAGTCCAGGCCCCCGACTCTGACCCCTCCTCTAGTGTGGAGCAGCCTGAAGCCCGAGGGAGTGTCCTGTGCCAGCACCATGTGAACCCGCATGTCCAGGCGACCCGCCATCCTACATGGCACCTCACGAGCCCCATGGAGCTCCTTGCCAGCACAGAGGGACACAGAGCTCCTCGTCTCCACCCTCTCTTCACACCTCCCTTGATCTGCACATTTCTGCTGCCGGCTGTGCTGTGGCTCCTGGGGCCCCTCTCCCACCCTCGCCTGCTCCCACCTGCCCTCTGCGCCTGTCCCCACGGGTGTGTTTCCTCCTCCCTCAACACCGGGAGGACCCTGGGGCCACACCCGCTCCAGAGTCAGATTCAAGTAAGCAGGTCCTTCAGCCGAAAGTGGACTCAATGGCCCAAGACCTAACCCATCTGTGAGAACACTGGACATGGGCATTTGTATTTTGCAATCAGGCCACAGACACAGCACACAGAGGTGATGTTTCCTAAAGAAAACCACAGCGGTTGTTTTCCCAGGACTCTCCAGGTGTCCAGCCTAGGCAAGGGCAAGGTGACCTCAGAACTGGCTGTTCTCAACGCTGCTCCTTGGAAACGTGGACCCCCAGGGACCATCTGAGCTGAGAGGAGGGGCGGCCGGCTGGCCCTGGGCTCTGGAAGCTCCTTCCTCCAGGCACTCCTTCCTACCTGGAAGGATGTGTTTCTTCTGGAGTTTGCAGGTTAGGGTCACTCCAGGTGTACAAGTGTTTGGAAATGAACCTGCCAAGTATTGTCATATACTTGGCAAGATTCCTGCACTGAATTCATGTTTATTATAATATGTCGCATGACCTCAAAACTTTAGAAGCACACAATATCCATATAATCTTTCCAGTTGATACACTCTGAAGAGTTATATGTATGTGTAATAAAAATATTTTAATTGAATTCAATTCATTACCAGAACAACCAACACTGGTTAACTGAAAGCAATATAAAAGTGCAAATATTCATTAATAGTCCATTTTTAACAAGCTCTAATAAGCTTTTCATAAAACCAGTAGTTACTTTCCAGAACAAACATTTTTTAATTTTTCTGATCTATTCTCATTCTAGTCGATTCTTGGTCACAGCTGGATGTGGTTAAGCAAACCAATCTGTATTTGTAAAAGCTGGTTTTCATTTCAACCCTGGAAAGCTGGCATAAACTTAAATATTTCTCTGGATCCAATACATATTAACTAAAGTAAGTGTATTTGTGAAATTGAAAAGATTATAATGTACACTGAAAGAGTCTATGGCATTTTTACAATTCCAAATGTATCTTACGTAGAGGAGTGCCTTTAAAAAATATCAACCATGGGTGCCACAGTTTAAAAACACACAATTTTAATAGGTTACCTTGAGAATGATCACCTTCCTTCATTATTTAGATCATTTCTAGAGTGAAATGTTCCCATGTTAATTTATTCAATAGAGTTTTTGGAGTCAAGCTCTGTGCAAAGTGCTGGGCCTGGAGTGGTGAACTCGGCAGGCTGAGCAGTCCTGGCAGGTGCACGTCCTATGTAACTTAGAATACGTCTGCAAGATCTTCATCTAAGACGGTATGAGCCTTGAGACCACAGCGCTGTGCTTGCTGAAAGCATTAGTGTCAAATTTTCCCTTGGAGAAGACCAAACCCAACAGGTCCCCTTGAGATGTGGCTCTGCCTAGTGTTGCGTTGAAATCTCCGGATGATGAAACCTCCCTGCTTTGTGGGTGATTGCCCCGCCCACTCTGAGCTTCCCTCCGTCGGGACAGCCTCACGTTGGATTAGGTTCAAAGCTCTCCCACTGTCTTCATCTCCCTTCCCTCCCTGTGAACGGAACTGGCTGGCCACATTTCTCTTAGAGAATTTTAAATCATTACTCAGTTACTCTTCATTTATCTCAGACACATGTTGAGCGATTCTGGTCCCTTTTATCTTCACTCATTTCGTTCCTTGCAATAGGCTTTGGCTATCTCTGGACACCTCCTCACTCTATCCCTGGACAGTTGCTGGTGTGGCTGTCAAAGCCCCTCCACTGACCCAGAGGCCTCTTATCTAGCAACAGGGCTCTCTGGAACACTGTGCAGAAAACCTGATGTTAAAACAAACTAACAAAGAAACGAAGAGACATAAACCACGGCTGGATAGGTAAACCCAGCCGTGACGAAGTCCACATGGGACATCAGTGTTGGGCTCCCAGGTGTGGCTCTGAGGCACGTTTTTGGAGGTCGGGTGCTCCCTTGTTAAAGCTGACTTTATACCGGGAACTGGTTTCCAGTACACAGAAGATGAGAAATAGCTCAACGGAGCGAGTTGAGGGGGGTGCAAGACATAAAGCAAGGCTGGGAGAAAAACCAAAACTGGTCTAGGCAGACTGACTTTCTTAAAAAGTACTAAAGAGCCAGGTGCAGTGGCTCACGCCTGTAATCCCAATACTTTGGGAGGCTGAAGCAGGCGGATCACTTGAGCCCAGGAGTTTGAGACCAGCCTGGGCTACAAAGAAAAGTCCCATCTCTATAAAAAATATAAAAATTAACCAGACATGGTAGTGTGAGCCTGTAGTCCCAGCTACTCAGGAGGCTGAGGCAGGAGGATTGTTTGAGCCTCAGAGGTTGAGGCTGCAGTGAGCTGTGATTGCACCATTGCACTCTAGCCTGGGGGACAGTGAGAAACCCTGTAAAAAACCAAAAGAAATGGTGCCTATGTAATGTGGGGGGAGGCTCCGCACAGACCAGCAGTTGCAAGAGATACCACAGTTCATGCCACCAGTAATGCCAACAAGAATGTTGGTAAGAACACTTTGTTGATATAAATCTTGTACTTATTCAATTTTTATATATATGTAGATAGATATCTATCTATCTACATATATCAATATATAGATATTTGATATATACCGATATGATGTATAATATACATCATATCAATATACAATATATGAAATATATCAATATTATATGACATATATAATATTGTTATATATGTCATATATTATATAACATATATCACAAATTATAAAACATATAATATTGATATGTAATATATATAATATTGATATATATATCTATTTCTATGTAGAATATATATAATATCTCTCTCTATATATAAAATTTCCAACCAACACTTTTGGGTCACCTTTGTTTAACTTTTGGCACTTACAATAACAGTCTTTCTTTTTTTTCTGAAAAGTGCCCTCATGATTTAATACTCATTCATGATTGAAAGGCTGTTGCTTAAATCTTACAGAATTAAAGGTGTCCGCAACACAACAGATGTAGACACACTGAAGGAATACTTCTGCCTGAGCCATTTTATTTTAAATTACTGAGATTTCTTTTACCACAAGTGGCTCTGCTCTAGCTAACATCAGATACTTGGCAGTTTATATTTCTGCCGTGATGATGTAAATCCTGTTTCCACAGAATCCTTTAAATTCCACACCTTGCCAGCTCGGAGTGGGAAGGAAGGAGCAGCGTTGCCTGTCACCAGCTTCATTCTTTAATTATGGCATTCTTCCTTGATTAGAGCTATAATCACATAGCAATCCCCAAATCTTGATTACTGGTGGAAAATGCAAGTCTAATGAAACCCATTATACTCTTGAAAAGCAAATACACTTTCTTTTAGAAGATGGCAAGGGTTTTTGTCTTAAATGATTACCCTCAATGCAGAATTTCAGGGTGTTGAGGTTTTCAAATAATTTTCCCTAAAATAACGTATTTGTTCCTTGATCCTAAGAAGTTACAATCCATGGCAACATGTAGGGAAAGTATTGTAAGGTGAATTCTTGTCCTCTAACAGTATGATTCTTCTGATTAGATTTCTATCCCATCCCTATAAAATATCAATAACTTAAATGTGTTGCCACTCTTAAACTGCAGTTTCATACGATGATGTATTAATCGCTCGCAATAATTTGCCTCGTCACCAAGTTAATGTGTCTGCGTGGCTCCTGTTTATGAGCAAAGCAAACCTCCTACTGCTCCGGGCTGCCTCCTAACGCCACTTCTGCGATTTCCCTACAGACACTAGTATCAGGGGTGCTGAATGGAAAAGTAGAAATTAAAATGGAAAAGTTCTTTGTCTGGCATTGAAAGAAACCGCCAATATTTTTATGTGAGAATGAACAGTTGGAGCTGCTTCCACCAGAAGACAGAAAAGAGAGGTTTGGGGGAAAATGGGTCTTGGGTGGCTGGGAGGAGATGCTCCAGGCTGTTTTCCACATGGAGGAAACTTGGCAATAATGAAAGTTCCTTTTCTAGCTCTCATTAGTTGCCTCTGTATTTCCTGAATTACCCTGTCACATTCAATACCCAATATAAATGAAGCAACTTTTAATCATTCCAGGAGAGATGGAGGACAGATGCAGATATTACACTTCAATATATGGAAGTAGTCTCAAAATGTCATTAACTCGTGAATTAACAATGAGCTTTGATTGTTGAAAAAAGATGACATATTTCCCCATTTAGAGTTTGGGACAAGAAGTTAATTTAAATGCTAAAAGTACATATATTTGACTAACTTGATGTCACATATATCTCTTAGCATTAATACAGAAATGGCATTTATAAAAGCCATAATGCATGTAGCTCAAGGCAAGCTTTCTTAAACAGTTTGACTCAATTGAGACCTTATAAAGCTTTGGTCTATTGTTCCACTTTCATGAGGTTTTTTTTTTTGGTCAGGCCAATTATAGCGAAGGATACATATTTCAGGTGAACCTTTATTGAGTGCTGACTGCTAGCCAGACATCGTTCTCTGAGCCTCGTGTGCATTACACAGTTTCTTACAACAAGCCGATGAGGCAGATAATTTTATCACCATCATTTTCCAGGTGAGTAGAATGAGATTTAGGATTAAGTGTTTTTTTTGTAAGGTTGCTCATCTAATAAATGGTGGTTCCCACTGCAGCCAGTCCTCTCCATGTCTGCGAGATGACACAGCTGGACCCGACGAGCTGGGAGAAAAGGCAAAATCACCACTCATCACTCATCTTCTATTTGCTTAAAATGGTGTGTCGGGGGCTCACATACTTCTCATCCGTGCTCCCTCCATGCAGGTGACACAAGTCACACAGGTCTTTTTCTTAAAGGAGGTGGAGAGGCTGCCTTGCCTGCACTCACACGGACTTCCAGTGGGGAAGAAGCCGTCTTGGCGAGTGTCTTGGTTTGAGATCATCAGGGCCATACCCTCATCATGGTACAAGTGTTTGTGCAGTCAGGGTGGAAACAGCAGGGAGCAGACATGCTGTGGCCATCTCCTAAAGCTGGAGCACTTCAGGAGAATGGGAGGGCCATGGTCCCATGGGCATGAGTGCTCTCCTGCTGCCTGCCAAGCCTGTCCTGGAACTGAGCCAGGAGGCTGACTGCATCCAGGAAGCTGACCGCATCCAGGAGGCTGACCGCATCCAGGAGGTTGACCGCATCCAGGAGGCTGACTGCATGGTTCTTCCTAGAGCAGGGCTTAGAGCCTGCTCTGTGGTCAGTCATGTGGCCCTGGAAGAGAAGTCCCCAGAGCCTTCAGGAATGTCCCAGGGTCTTGGAATCAGAGAAGACCAAGAAACGCCACCAGCTTTGGAACTGGGTGAGCTTTATCTGGGTGTTTCTCCCTGGCTGGCCCACAGTACCAGACCATTCACGAGCAGCCTGATGATCACAGCTGATCCTTACCCTAAGAAAGCTTTGGGCTCCAACATGACTTCCCGTTCTTATAAAACACAAAGAGGGCCGGGCGCAGTGGCTCACGCCTGTCATCCCAGCACTTTGGGAGGCCAAGGCGAGAAGATCATGAGGTCAGGAGTTCGAGACCATCCTGACCAACATGGTGAAACCTGTCTCTACTAAAATACAAAAAATTAGCTGGGTGTGGTGGCGGGCGCCTGTAGTCCCAGCTACTCAGGAGGCTGAGGCAGGGGAATCACTTGAACCCAGGAGGCGGAGGTTGCAGCGAGCGGAGATCATGCCACTGCACTCCAGCCTGGATGACAGAGTGAGACTCCTCTGTCTCAAACAAAACAAAACAAAGCAAAACAAAACAAACAAACAAACAAACAAACAAAAACATGAAGAGGGCTCAGGCCAAGCCGCAAAGCCATGACCTGCCCTTCTAACAGGCACAGTGGTTCTTTGTGGAACCACTCAGAAAAAAACTTCAGGCCTTAATGGGGTGTTGGCGGGAAGATCTGAAGTGTGTTTTAATCCCACAGCCCGTAAACACTGGATGCCATCGATGAGGGAGCATGGCGGCTATACTTACATACCTCTAGTGATGGGGAACTCACTATCTCCTGAGGGTGTTTTTCTGTTTCTCCCAAGGAAATTTACTCCATCCTTAGCCAGTTTGTTAGAGATTGTACCGTTGTAAAATTCAGTTTAGAAGTCTCGTTTTCCTTGGACAATTATAGTCTTACTCCTTAAGTGGAAGGGGTTGAGTTCAAGCTCTCCTTCTGAACGCCTGCTTCTTTAATAGGGACACACTAGGGAGGGAGGGGTAGATATCATGGTTCCTGTCCAGTATGAGAATCACTAGTGTTGTTGAAAGAAAGTGACAAATAAACAGAACTAATTCTACCTTTTTTAAAGCAGGTTAAAAGCAAGTGTCAGAGCTTGCAGTTTGCTGCCATTAGAGGGGCTCCAGGGGCCCATTTACATTTTGACATAAAATATGAGGAAAACACAATTGAGACAGAAATCATAAAAATGGCGGATGCTCTAAACTAAACCCACAAGTTAAGCTGAACATCTTAAGCATTTTCCAGATAACAAACTACGTAGGTGAATCCTGTTGTTGCCTGGGAGACACACACACACACAAAAACACACACACAGACACAAAAACATGCACACACATAAATGTCTATACACTATAAATATTTTTATGGACAATCTTCTGAAACACTATTAAACTATGAAGTATTTTGTTTGTTTTGTATATCATTTGAAAAATATATTAGTGAGAAGATAGACGTCTCAAAAGGAGACCAATGGTAAATGGTGAATTTTAGTAACAGAAAGTAAAGGATATAAGAAGAAAGCTTAGGGTGAGATGGTGAGGTGAATGTAACGCATCCCGGCTGGACAAAGCTGCCCTGTGGTCTCACTTGGCTACAATTGCAAGATCCGAAATTCACTCTTAGCTAACGTCAGTGAACCCATGAAAAGCTTAGATTCTAGCGAAAAAGTATTCATTGTTTTGTCTTCATTCTTAGTTATCTTTGCTAAAAGGAAAGGTTAGCTAAATCTAAAAAACATTTTCATAAACTACAAATATATATTAAAAATATCTGTAATGGATATGAACACCATGTGTTACCAAGGGTGGATCTCATTATATTATTTAGCACCCGATATAAAATAATTCAATAAAAAGTCTCTGGGCATTTAAATCTGAATCTAGCATTGACAAAGCATGGATTAGCTCCAAAAGGGTCTAAAAGCTGATAAGCTCCAATCAAAGCAACAGCACGAAGTGGTGTGTTTCCACTTTGACCTGCCACGTGCTGACCTATCATAACTGAAGTCAGCTGCTTTATTATAATTTCATAAAAACAAATGATGTGAACAACCCAATATCAGGTCTAAAAACCACATAGGCTGTTGTTTAAACCACAGCATTTTTTGAAGGAAATAAAAGGTCTGTATTTATTTCTAGAACACAGAAGCTACTGGGGTTTTAGCCAGAAACTCATCTGTAGTTAAAAGAGCAGCAGAAAGCTGATTCTTTAAGGTCTTAGGGAGCACCTGTTTCACTGCGTCTTTGCTGCGAGAGTGTGGCTGGGAGACTCTGGCCCCTCCTCCATCTGCACGTCTTACCAGCATCTGCTAGCGTTCTGCTTTCCAAGTTAGTCCGTTAAGATTATTTCCTTATAAATCTTTTTTAAAAAATGTGTTCCTGGCTGGGCGTGGCGGCTCACACCTGTCATCCCAGCACTTTAGGAGGCCAAGGTGGGTGGATCACCTGAGGTCAGGAGTTTGAGACCAGCCTGGCCAACACGATGAAACCCTGTCTCTACTAAAAATACAAAAATTAGTCAGGTGTGGTGGCGGGCGCCTGTAATCCCAGCTACCTGGGAGGCTGAGGCAGGAGAATCACTTGAAACCAGGAGCTGGAGGTTGAAGTGAGCCGAGATGGTGCCACTGCACTCCAGCCTGGGCTACAGAGCGAGACTCCATTTAAAAAAAAAAGTGTTCCTGTTATAACTAATTTACATTTTACCTCAGTGCAAATATTTGACATTTATTATGATTTCTTTTTATTTTTTAGACCAAAAAGTCTCATTCTGTGTATTTGTGCCATTAATGACTTCTTTTGAAAATTTGACCCAAAAGCTCAGAAATCAAAACCAGAACTTGTGTGAGGTCATAAACTTCAAAAGCACACGGATTTTGGCTACCTTATATCAAAAATACTCAAAGCATTGCTTGCCACATTGTCGGTGCTCAATGATTACTTGTTGAATGAACAATCCACCCAAATCCTTTAACTTCAAATCTTCCTGAAACCCGTGAACTTGGCCCTGCAGAAAGGGATGCAGGCACTTCAGTTCCCCTATCTTCCTGGGATGAGTTAAGTATTAGTAAACATCGTCAACAGCAGAGGCAGCCACATGCACGTTTTGGAAAATTTATGTCAGTATTTATTACAATTAAGTATTTCCCAGTTGTTATGGCTCAAATAACATATTATAGCCAATCAGATCATTTGATCAGAAAAAACCACCACATTGGTATAATTTATATAAAATAAAAGCAAGATAAAGAAGGAGCTACTAGAGTTGACCTGCTACCAATAAGTATCACTCACCACAGGGCTTTCAAAATAGCGAATTAGCTCAAGGCCATCTCACCATAGACACTCACACACTCACACACTCACACTCACACATTTACCCACAAACTCACATCCACACTCACATGCACACACACTCACACTCCCTCACTCACACACCCACTCACACTCAGTATTCAGACACACATCCACACTCACACTCACACACACTCGCCCCTTGGCTGTGAACTGCAGGCAGGTATGTTCTGGGTGAAGCGGGAGAGGCAGACGGCCTGCACACTGACCCCTCTAAGTCTAGGAAACCTCCACCCCGCGGCCCCCTCCTAATTAGCAATGACATCAGCATGAACGGATTCCCACTGTGTGCAAGCGCAGGGCCAAGAGGCCTGGGTGTTTATTCAGGTAATGCAACTAATAAACAGGAGGTAGGCACACATCTCCACTTTACACCTGGGGAAACTGAGGCACAGACACCCAAAGGCCATGGGACTGGTGAGCAGCAAAACTGGAATTTAAAACTCATCTCTAATGGACTCTACTCTGCCTTCCCTATTTACGGTGCTACATTAAATAAGACATGCCATCAAACACAGAAAAAACAGATTTCTGCCTAAAGGGTGTTAATGATGTTTTACATGAAAGGGCTGGAATTTCCCTTTTGCAGCGTTTTCAGTACAAAGTCTCTGCACCTATAAACTTAGCCACCTGCAGATGGAAGGTGAATGACTCATTTTTCCCCGCACTCACTTTCATACCAGATGAGGCAACTTCCAGTTACACTTGACGTGTTACATTTTCCCAGACTGGAGGGCTAGAGGCCACTCTTAGGTCAGGGTCACCTGGAGGGTGGCTGATGGTGGGGGGCTAGGGTTACTTCATGATTTCATCCCCCAAAAAACAAAAGCAACAGTGACGTCAGCTTCACCAGTATGGGGAAGTGAGTGAATAAGGTGGAAGAGGGAGCTGCCATGACCTGGGAGAGGCCAGGAAGAACTCAAGTCCTGCTGCGAAGCGCGTCAGAACCACGGACAGCTCCTGGTTCCCTATCCCTTAGGGTGCCTGGGCTTCATGACCACAAAGGTCCCTTCCAGCCTCCGCATGCAGCTCCAAAATCAAGTTTTTTTCTTTTTTTTCTGTACAGAGGCATTGGGGCTAATTTGCTGTCTCTGCAGAAACCCAATCCCAGATCTCTAATTCCAATCCTGAGAATGATTGGAGCCTGCGGAGTGACAGTGACAAGGTGCCTGGTGGATTAGGCTGGTCCCTAGAAAAGTGGATGCTACATTAGGTCAGTAATGTGAAAGTAGGGCGGTGTGATCTCCTCTCCCCAGGCTTCCTCATGGAGAGCTTCATTACCGAATCGCACGCAGCCCACACGGCTGTCTCCCGGCCCCACTCGGCCCAAGGTAAATAAAACTCCAGGTTATCTCAAAGGCAGGAGTGGAAGCAGCTAATGCGGGGAGATGGGGCATTCATTATGCCATTTACACGAGCTGAGGATAAATGATCAAATTCCCTCTGTCAACCACAAAGAGCTCAAGGATAATTTTTAAATGCAGGAAGTATTCCTCCAGGGCTTTTGTATTTTCTTCCTCCAGGCTGCAGCCGCATTTGCGAGTGTGCCAAGCTACGCCACTACTGATTTACTGCGCTGGGAACAGCACTCCATCAATGTCCCCGAGCTGCCATTGCCACCAAGCTCCCCCTGTCCCCGGGCGTCTTTCTTACAGAAGAAAATTATTCACTTGCTTGTATGTTACATGCAAAACAAACTATTTTTAGCTGCCTACATCTGTCACCTCCCTTTGCTATCCAAGCTCGGTCGGGGGAGCAGGGAGAAGGAGAAGGACAAAGGAGAGGGGAATTCTCAAATGTTCTTTAAAAAAGCAAAACGTGCACATGCTGGTGGTGACACAGGTTATCATCGGTGGTGACAGAGAAATGTGCAGGCTGTTCCCATTGCTGTCACATGAGCTTTGTCTTGTCCTGCCAGGCGCCTACGCGGAGTGGACAGTCAATGATGCTGGCGGAGCACAAGCAATTTTTCTTGTCTGTACAAGAAAGGCTCCATGGAGTCTCCTGCTGCTGATGCCTCTCACACTTGTAAGGAGGGTGGGAAGCCTTTCAAATGACTTTTCTGACCGAATGAGAGATTGCATTGGCACTGAATTCCTCTTCTTGAGGTTCTGGATTTTCACTTTGTTTTGTTAATGTTTAAATTTATGACTCGAGATTTCACTCTCAAATAGTGATGGCTAGGGGCTCTTCCAGTGTGACTTTGTCACACTAATTTTCGCAAGCAGTTTTAAGAGTGCGTGTCACGCCTATACAAACACACAAAAAAGAGGTCAAGGTAGACTGTAGAATGCCAGCGTTTGGCTAAGGAGGGTGTTTATGTGGTCAGTGTATATAAAAGGAATGTTATTTTGCAAAAATGCCAACGCATGGAAAACTGGTGTCAGAGAGGAGAATCAGTGGGTCCTGGGATTCTGGCAGGGGATCTGGCCCCCTTTGCAGGCGATGTGGGATGACACAGGGACCAAGGTTCTGAGCACTTAAGACGCTTCAGTCAGATTAGCCAATAGCACGATTCGCTCCATGCTCATTGTTGCATTGCTTACGCATGCATGGCTATGGTACAGCCCACTGGATGGGCTCTAAAGCCTTAGGTGTGGCAGAATCCAAAAAGACTGATTCTATATGTCCCTACTGGGAGGTTAGATGGACCAGGGTAGAGATGCATGCCAGCCCATCGACCTGGAGCCTGCACAGCTATGGAACTCCCACTGCCCCTGCAGTGCCATTGCCTAGCAGAAGTAAGGGGGATGCAACCACTTTGTTACTTCCACATAAAGCCTCTAACTTGACTTCTTGAAGTTTGCAAGAAGCAGCATCCACTTAAAGTCCAACTCTGATTGTGACAGCTTCCTCACCTGGTCTAAGGATGCCTCAGTCACACAAAACCAAAACTCACACCGTCAGTGTATTTAAACGTACATCTAAGCACTCCTCAGACCGGTTGGAGACTCTGTCACATCTAACCCAGCTCTGAGTCCATCCCTGGCACTTGACTGCCTCCCACCTCCCTGCCATCTACACCTCATCTCCATCACGAAACTCTGCAATGTTGAGCTGCCCCCTCTGCCTCTCCTCCTGGAGTTCACTTTAACGCCTATACTCCAATGCTTGGGATCTCTTCTTTTGCTCAAGACATCCCTTTTTCATCCGTCATTCTTCTTCATTTATCAGGTTTATTCATTCATAAACTCAATCAGTCATTCCAGCACAGGGAAGGTGCGCTGTGAGGTGCTGTCTGTCCCTGCCTGGTGGAGCTCACCATCCTGCAGACATGAAACAGATAATGACAAATCACAACCAGAGTGGTGTTAGGAGACGTGTCCCAGGGACACATGAGGATGGCACCCAGTCTGATGCAGAGAGGTCCAGGAAAGGCTCCCAGAGGGAAGATCCCCATGTGGACTCTACAAGGTGCACACAGGTGAGTTAGGGGCAGCTTAAAACCCCTGAGGGATTTCCATTAGGACACACCCAGGTCTATCCACATGGCCCAAGTGCTCTGAAAACGATGTGTCCTGGGGTCCAGCCTAGCTCGTGACAGTTCCCTTTACTGCTGCCATCTTAGCCATGCTGGGCTTTGTCAAGCAGCAAAATGGCATGAAAGCTCAAGCCCCCATGCACACCCAGACCATGTGCATCTTGAGGGACTATTTTCTAGCCTGGGCTCTCTCTCTCTGCATGTTCTTGGCATCCTTTGAATCCACAAACAATGAACAGTGGTCTCATTGAATAGGAAGAGAGCAAATCAGACATTGAAAGAAAAACTAATGGTGTGTGGGTCTTGATGACTATTGGGAAGGGCAGCGGCTTTAGCCGCTGGTGGGCGTGGCTGCACGGTGAACTCACACTGCTGCCAATGCAGTCACAGAAGACAGTCAGGTTGACCCCACTGGCAGCAAAATGCCAGTCTTTCCATCAAGATGAGAGCAGGGCTCTGGACTCAAATCCGAACTTGCAACAGTCCCTTCTAGTCCTAAATTCTCTGCTCTTCACCATTTTGCTATAGCTCAGACAACTCTCTCCCTTTTTGTTCATTTGTTTTCACATGTGGGAGGGGGTGTGTGATGTGCTATTTGAGGTGCTGATGAACTCAGCAAAGACCCTGGAGATACACTGAGTGTGATTGCTGTGTGCTCACCACAAGACACCAGCAACTGAGCATGCACCCTTGGTGCAGTCTTGCCAGTGCCTGCGTGCCTGCGACCAGCATGCAAGAGTTCCTCTGGATCCTAGAAATAAGGTGGCTGTCAGTGAGGGAGGCCAGTGTAAAAATGGAAAGGCCCCACCATTTTTGGGAGGATAAAATCCAAAGGAGAAAACTGTGTGCCGTGTTGCCACCAACACTCGCACGAGTTCCGTCCTCACTGCCAGTGTTATTCATTACAGTGCCTGCTGCTCTGGAGGCATAATTTAAAAAGATGCATTACTGCAGAGACCCTCCCCAAGATAAGTCAGTACTCTGAGGCTCTTTCACTTCAAAGTCTTTTTCCAGGAACGTTAGAAAGAAGAAAGTGCTTTAGAGTTCTTTGTAGAAACATAGACAATTGCAGGATTGCATGAGTCACTATTTTCTGTTAGCTGTGATTTCTTCTACCATTGGCTCCTTATGAAAAAAAAGTGTGTGTGCATATATGTGTGCATGTATATATGTGTGTGTGCACACGTGTGTCTATATATGTATGCGTATACATGTGCATACATGTGTGTGCATATATGTGTATACATATGTGTATACCTGTGTATATACATTTAAATATGTGTATATGTACGTGTGTATACTTGTGTATATACATGTGTATATATATGCCTGCATATATGCATGCATGTGTGTTTATGTGAGTATACATGTGTATATATATATCTGCATGTATGTGTGTGTATAGTGTGTGTATATATGTCTGTGTGGGGATATGTATTTATATGTGTGTGGATATATATGTGTGGGGGTATATGAGTATATATGTGTATGTGTGTATACATGTGTGTATGTGTGCATATATGTGTGTATATGCATGTATGTGCATGCATATGTGTATATATGTATGTGTGTATATGTTGTGTATGTGTGGTGTGTGTATATATGTGTATGCATGTGTATATGTGTGTGTGTATGCATGTGTGTATATGTGTATATATGCATGTGTGTATATGTGTATGTGTGTGTATGTGTGGTGTGTCTATATATGTATGTGTGTATGTATTATATATACAATTTTTAAATTTAGGGTATATCTCGAACTGGAGGCTCCAGTTTATGAGCCTGAAATGCCATTAAACTGGTGTGATAAATTCTAATTGAGTGGATACATGTCTTCTCTGAGAGGGATAATTTAGGGAAATCCAAGAAGACTGCAGTTTAAAGCCACATAGACATGTTAGCAGAAAGTTTAGGAAACTGAAAACACATTTTTATAGTTTTAAAAAGCTTCTGTTTTCTTTTTTCTGAAGTGTAACATTTCTCTGGCTTCTGAACTTCTGCAGGTGATTACATGAAGTTTACACTGTATCTGTGCTGCACTTTCCCCTTTGCTTCCTAAAATAATTCATCTTCCATAGTAACAGTCTCTTCAAAGCAGGATTTATCTCGAACCCTTTCACACACAACCAGGCACAAAGTCACGTTCTTTACCTTGAAGCTGGGACACAGGAAGAGCCGTGGGCTTGATTTCCAGCCTCCTCCTCAAGCATCCCCAGGACCCTTCATAAACGGAATGAACTCGAGCTGGCTCAACTGCTTGTTTTAAAAGTGTGTTTTTTAGGAAATACTTGTTCTGCCATCTCCCCCATAGTTTTACAAAGTAAATCACGTTGTGCTTGGAATCGTCCCTGCCTACGCTCGAGAACTGTTCACTTAGAAAATAAACATGTGGGTAAGCATTGGTCCATACGTATAAGCGATCAAGAGACCCTGGCCCCCGTGGAAACATGTTTTCAGGCAATCCAGCTCTGGTACTCTTTGAGCTGCCTTTCTATTTTACGGCATGTTCAGAAGATGAATCTACCATTACGCTGACTAACGAAGTCTAGTCATAGCGATAGCGGTGTCTTAGCAGCAGAAGTGATGGTTGGTTAACTGAGCGTGTTTTAGACGCCATCTGCATTACAAAGTATCTTCCATGGGGTAGGCCATGGAGTCAGCACCACTGTTCTCGAGGGGCAGTCTCTAGCTCCTCATCTTACAAGGGCAACTGACGCTGACATTCAACAACTGGTGCAATGTCAGCTGCAGGCGAGTAGGTGGAGCAGGACCTACTCAGCACCAGGCGGGCTGCCCCTCCACAGTTTGCGGTGATAATAAGGCACTTTACAGAGGATGCTACCATACTTGGTATAGAAATCTTGAAAAAGTGGATGCTCCGGTGAAGCTCAGAGAGGCTGTGTGGGGTACCCGGGGTGCACAGGCACGGACCTCAGACGCAAACTCAACACATTCATGCCCATCTTTCCATTTATGTTTGGTTGGATCAGCCTAATTTGCTTGTATGGAATGAAATTCAGAAAAAAAAGAAGGATGATTTATTTTTACAGCCTTTGAAATGTCCTTAGTCATGTACTTGTACTTGGTTTGAAATCGTATCATAAATTGGAATCAGGGAATTTGAAGGGAATTTTCAAAGTCCCTTGTGACTCTACATGTGCAATCTTCAGCATCGAGTATTCCCCAATTTTCCACAGGGGATACACTTTTCTATCATGATCTGGGCCCCTGTCCTGCCCTTCAGCCACAGTTCATCTTTCCTGACCATTCTGTCCTATGATAACGTCTCCCTTTAATTTTCTCCGTGGCTCATTTGACAGCTAACCTGTGTCCACTTTTCTGTTTTAACAGCTAGCTTCTTTACACAAGGTATGGGTGTCTCAAATGTTTAGGCACATATGTGAAATTCTAATTGGTTGATTGCTTTGCCAGAAATGACCCTATAACCTGGGCCAGATTACCAGATGTGCCAGAGTGTGCTCCAGTCGGTGGGATATGCCCCTGGGCCAGCCAGGGTGTATCTCAGCCAGACAGCCACAAGATGCAGTGCTGGACACCCCAGTCCTGAGTTGATGGAGCTGCTGACTTTCTGGGTTTCAGCTGTATCATCAGTAAGAGTGCTGTATCTATTCAGGCAGAGGAGATGGTCTCTCCAGCTCCACTAGAGATCTTAGATCTGTGATGCACAGGTAATTACTCCTAAAATTACCTGAGACGATTTCTGAAATCATGAGGGAGTGGCTTCCTGAGGAGCGATGATTACACAAACCCGGGAGGACCTGGAGGTCCTGCTTCTGTCACTGGCTGGGCTGCGTATCATACCTTTTCATAACTACAAACCCTCCCTGAAGGTCTTCCCAAGGTGAAATATCCAAGAACAAGTAGACTGTATTTGCTCTTGCTGTTGTTCCCCATGGTGGACGCTTGCCATAAATATGGTGGTGGTGTCTGCAAGACTGGCTACGTTCATGACTGCTCTCACATGCTTTTCTGAAGCATAGATTAAGTGGCAGCTCTACAAAGAGTGAGATTTATAGCCTAGTTTATGTTTTTTGGGGGTAAGAAATTCTTCAGTGTTTCTAGAAGCTACTTAACCTTGGTTGATGTCACTTAAAGGAGAGGAAAATTCTGGGTTTGCAAGGGGAGCCTCCTGGTGTTTTGAGTAGGTCAGCATCCACATTACCAGATGGTAAAGACACTTTGCTAGGACCTTTGACAAGCTAAGTACTCGAGGGGCTGTGATACTGAAGGGGGTGGAGAATGGAGGTGGCTCATAAATAATGTGGTGCTGGTAGGCTGCAGCCCAGACATGACCACAGCGCAGGGAAACGCACCTCCGCCAGTCTTGGCGAACTTCACAGCACCTTCCCATACAAAAGTGGCAGATACTGATCTAACTGCATCAGAAGTCCTTGCTATCGGTCCGTGAAAGGTCTAAGTTAATCTGTCCCTTACTATCTTAAATTAAACGGGCACATGACTCCACCGACCGTCCACGAGGTCTTTCCTGGAGTGAAGCTTTAATTCTCTGTCCGCCCACTGCAGTCCCGGATAGGGGAGTAAGAAGGTCTGACAGTTAATGACACTTGAGGAAGATGTGCGTGCCTGGAGCTTCTCAGCAGTGGGACATTTGCCCCTAGCAGAGGGTCGAGGGACACTGGCAAATGCTGACGTGGATGTAGCACGGTCACCAAAACCCCGCGTGTCCGAGATGGTGGAGCAGCTTTTCCCGGCTCATGTGAGGGCTGGCCAGCCACACAGCACCAGGCTGACTTTAGCAGCTTGGTCTCCCAAGCCGAGGCTATCTGAAGGACACCAGAGAGCTGCGTTTCTCCTTCTGTGCCAAGGTGAACACACAACGCTTCAGATGTTCCGCTCTCCCCTCGTGAGACAGACGGCCCGGCTTCTGTGTGGCTTTGGGGATGGGAGTGCCAGTCACTGGCCACAGAATGACAAATTGCCTCCCTGCCAATATCAGAGCAGGGACAGTTCTCGCCACAGCGTCCTCCAGATGGGCCCAATTAAACTATTAGCCAATGAGCAAGGTCTGATGGCTCCATTAGGAACCACCCTGTGCTTAAATAAACAGCTCAGAATACATAGTTTCTCCATCGAGCCCTGGCTCGGCGAAGGCCCCATCTGGGCAAGGTCTCCAAGGTTGGCCCTGGCGAGCCCCAGGGGGTGTTGGGGTGGCTGGGGCAGGCCGCCCTCCCTGGTTCTCAGGGTCCTGCAAGCCACACCGCAGTGGGTGATGTGAGAGAGGGGGCAGCACCCCCACCTGCCATGGCCAGGGCCAAGTTCTCCACCAGCTGCACCCCTTTGCTTGTGCACGCCTAGACAACCACACTCCCTGACTGGATGGAACTTCCAGAACCAGCCCCTGACCTCAGCACACTAGTCCCTTGCCAGCTGTCTTTCCCACATACAGAAATTTCAGGCCCGTGCTGTTTGGCTGTTCATCATTTGTAATTACTGCCAAGCAAGGGGCACATTTCGTGCAGAATAAATGAAGACAGCAGACAGCGAAGCGGGGCCTTACTGCCTGAGCGTGGTGGGCGTGACTCTCGGGGGGAGCGGGGGCTGCCTGCTTATGGGTGCTGCTTTCTCTCTGCCCGTGAAGGTGACCATCACACAGGCCCAGGGCCCCTCAGGGCTCTTCTCACCCCCACACGACCCAGGGTTGGTTCCCAGTGGGAGCAGAGCCTGCCCAGGAGAGACCGCTATCTCCACTGGTCCAGCTTACACAAAGATCCATCGAAAAGCATCAGTTCTTGAGAAAAACGACACTATAAATAAAATGGTTTTCAATACAGAGAGCTGGGCTCCATCAACCCTGCTGAGATCCTTGGGGACGGGGCTGCGCCTTTCTCTTTGTGATTATGGTCACTGTATTCCAGTAATTTGGGTGAACTCTGATTGGCCATCCAATATCTTTGATGTTCTAGGAGGTCACACACTGCAAAAAGCAAAGCGGGTCTGTCCCCTGCTTGCTTCTATTGGGAGGGGCCACCTCACGCCCTGCAGCACAGCCCTGGCCAGTGACAGCTCAGCATGGCTGCCCAGTCTCAGCTTTTAACTGGGGCATCTGTTCTGCAAATGCTCCTGAGCACCCACTGTGCACCGGCCCTGCTAGGGACGTAGCAGTGACCAGGACTGCCAAGGCCCCTACTGGGTTTAATTCATTCCGTGTAATCTCAGGCTGCTGCCAGCTCCCGGGAAGACCAAGCCATCTGTGCTCCTCCCGGGAGCATCCCACTTCCTTTCCAGAGCTCGGGGCTCACCTTTTGGATTCTGTCCTCCTACCACTGACATCTGCTCTTAGGGGAGGAAGAGAAACTTCCTCGGGGGGCAAATGAGAAATAGCTAATTTGTGCGGTGTGCAAAAGAAAGTCATTGCTTGCTAGAATTGTTGCTATGATTTTTCCTTATTCATTAATTTCCTTTTGCTACTGGGTAGCATATTGTTGTTCTTGGTTTGTGTTGACCTTTTCAGTCCTCATGAAAACAAGCCGTCCTGAGGCAGGCCTTCTTTGCACAGGTCAGCATCAGCAAGGAAGGCTCATTACCCATTTTTAATGCAGTTAGATGGTGCTGAACTTGACTGTGTGCTTTCACTCCAAGATTTGCCCTCTTATCACCCCCCAAGACTAAGGTCTTGGCCTAGGACTGATAAACAAACCAGCCGATCCGTGACAGTGATGGAAGGGTGCGTGTGTGCAGAGTTGGGGGGCATGCACGCTTTCTCTGCTCTACTCCTCTTCTGCCAAGGCCAGTGTCCTCCCTGAGATGCCAAGCCCCTCAGACGATGGAGGCCTCCTCCCCCCTGGGATCCTGATGACAACCATCTCAGGCACCCAATCACAGAGTGCTTGGAAATGGCCACTTAGAGCTTCCCTGCAAAAGGGTGGCTGATCCCAATGTGAGGCTGTTGTTGTCTCCAAGGGCCACCTTCCCACGGAGGTGACTTGCACGAGGGTGTCAGCGTCCAGGGGAAATATGGGGCTGCTGCCACAGCCTAGAGACAGACAGGAGATGGCGAGGAGGGAGACTGGTGCCCAGGCGCTGGCTTGCCTGGGGTCCCAGTCATGGCAGAAGGACTTGGGGAGACAGCATGGAACAGGAATCCCTGCTCAGAGCTGCTGTTGAGACACAGAAAGAACCTCCCTTGCTGGTGTCTGGCAGAGGGTGTTGATGACAGTCCAGGGGCATGAAGAGGCTGGGGTTTGAGGCTGCTGTAGGCTCTGTGGGGTCCCAGGAATGTTGGGGGGCCCAGGAATGTGCCCACTTTCAATCTTGGTCAGCGCTCTCCACCCGACGCCTTGTGTGCCTGCAGAGCCGCAGTCTCCACCAGACGCCTCGTGTGCCTGCAGAGCCACAGTCTCCACCCCACGCCTCATGTGCCTGCAGAGCCACAGTCTCCACCCAACGCCTTCTGTGCCTGCAGAGCCGCAGTGTCCACCCAACACCTTCTGTGCCTGCAGAGCCGCAGGGTCTGGGTTTTGTGGCACCACATGTTCGGTCTCATCTCCTCCCAAATCCTGTTAAATTTCCCTGAATTTAGGACCAGGCCCAATGCCATGGACACAGTAGACCCTCAATAAATGAGTAATCAAATTGATGGTGAAGAACTGATTTTTTTTCCTGTTAACCCTCCCTAGCAGGGTTTTTATTAATGGGGTTTTCAGCAGCTTGCGATTGAAAGGCCGCCTTGCCCCAGGGTACAATGAAGTCAGGACCCCCAGGAGGGAGGCTCCGTGTGGCTGGGGGAGGGGAGTAACAGAATGAGCATAAAATCGCAGGGAGATGCCCCACAGCTGCCCCGGGGGTCCTGGGGGCTGGCTCTGTGGAGGTAGAGGAGCAGAGGTGCCTTCAGCATCCGATGCTCCTGCCTGTGTCTGGGTCTCCTCTCCACGCCTGCTCCTTCCCCATCACCCTGTTCTCTGTGGCCATTGCAGGTGTTGTAAGCCACATCAAATCCACTTGAAATGGGGTGAAATGAATCTACCAATACCTGAATCAGTCAGTAGCAACCTGAGGTGATCATGTAGTTTTCTGGTTGCCTGAGGCTTGCATTTCAGGCTCAGCTTCAACAGGTTCCAGTGGCCATGGGGACAGGAAGTGCACGCCTCCCCCGAGGGTCTTAGCTCACCCAAGGCTGCAGTGTGAGGGCCACATTTCCTGGGGGCCACCCCATGGCACTGGCTACCCCAGGGGTGCTGAGACAGGCCTGTTCCTGGAGACCACCTAGACCCTCCAATATCACCTGCTTCTGTCTAAGCTCTGAAATCCCCTTCCGGCGTGGTGGTGCCTCCCCTGTGCAGCCCCACCCAGAACCCCTCTTTCCACCTGTGCAGTGTGCCCCAGCTTCCCCGCAGGGTGGCAGTTCAGGGCTCACTCCCCAGCTTCCCACTTACTGCCCACCTACCCCTCTAGACAGAGGTTCTGCCAGGGCGGGGCTTTCCTGTTTCCTTTGGTTCTGTCAGATCCCAGCATGGACCGATCCCGAAGTGCAGTCCCTCAGAGGGTGGAGTGGGCATTTATGTGGGCTATTTGGTAATGGCAGCAATGTCGCCTCTCCCTGACGACTCTACCAGGTTGGCCCTGCATGCTTCTGTGTGCTGCAGGTGAGCTTGGCTCATGGCTGCTGATCACTGCAGCCCCTTCCCAGCCACACGCCAGGCCCAAGGTGATGCATGCTGGGCCATGCCAGGCACCTGTGATGAAATGCTCAGTTGTGTGAAGGTGCTGGCCAGCCCACGAGAGCTGGAATGCCAGAGTCACATTCAGTTACAAGGTGGAGCCATCAGCACAGCAGGCAGGCGTGAGGGTGAGGACGCGGTCGGGAGGAATCTCACTTCCCCTGCAGACCCTTGGGAGAGATGCAGGGGACACAGGGCGAGGACTGGGAGGTGAGGTTCCAGCAGGGGCAGGGTTAGCCCTGCATGGGGCCTTTCCTTGAGGTTTCTCTGTAGGGTGTCCCCTGAGCCCTGAGGCCACACCCCTTGGCTGCTGAACCTGCCTGTGCTATGACAGTTCATTGTCCTGGACAATAAGGCACTAGAACAGAGGGGGTGTTGATAATTAAGCCAAGCTCCATGCTGTGGAAAGCGGGTGCCCACTCAACACCCCAGGGTCTAAGGGGACGTGGCAGGTTTCACTCCCAGACTGGCCCTAATGCAGAAGAGAAGGGAGAAACCACCAGGTTCCCACATTGCCATCCAGGCATCTTTTCCGGGCTGAGTTTTCTGCAAGGCTTGTCGGGTCCATCAGAGGTAAAAACTGCAACGCACACCTAATTATACCTAATTTGCTATTGATTAACTATTTATTCTAACAGAACCACTGTAAAACTGTCCTGTGTGTTTAACTATCAAAATAAAGGAGTGCTGGCACCTTCTGCATTTTCAAACATTCTATGCTCTAGGTCAAAGTTCAGCATTTTTATTGACTCTAAACAGGAGATGGAAAACCACATTAGAAAAAGTGGAATTAAAAAAAAAAAGAAAACTGGAAATGCCTTTTTATTAGAAAATGGCCTCATGGGCATGGCTGGCTTTCAGGAGTAAGTTCATGGAGGATCCCTTTTGATGTGTCAGTACTGGAACAAGCGAGGTTTTGAGTATTTTCAGTAGCATCTTTGTTCAAAGTTAATCTTGTGGATATCAAACCACCTCTTGGAAGGAGGAAGAATATCTATTTTCATGTTTACATTACAAAAGAGCTTATAAATTAGTGGGTTTCACTAAAAGTTGTATTGAAGTAAGCTGTGGGTTTTGTGTGAGGTGTGAGGTGTGCCCACACACCTATATATCTCGTTTATCTAGCTTCATCCAGACAAAACAGTGTTCACATTTAATTTTTCAGATAACTGAAATAAAGCTGTCTAAGAGTAAAGTCTTTATAAAATTGTAAGCACTTTTATTAATGCACTTCTGGGATATTTTTCTTACTCCCCCTGCTTTTGAAAACAGAAACTACATCATAACGTAATCTTTTAAAGGTACTACATCGCCAAAATGGGCATCAATTAAAACCCTGGAAAGTAACTTTGAAATAATCCCCCTTGTGTTAGTAGAACAATGTATGCTCATCTGGGGCCTCAGATGACGTCGAACCTAGGGACTCATGGCGTCTCCTCCACCAGGAATCCCTGCCAGCCTCCCAGGGTCCACGTGTAATTCTACTTTTCTCTTCTGCCATGACTCCTAGCCCAAAGACAAATACTTCTTTGCAATCTCATATTGTGCTAATTTTACAACATCTGATATTTTTGGGGTGGTATTAGATAGCTTCACTTTCATACTGGTTGAGAGGTTGGGGGAAAGAGAGAGAGGGAAAGAGAGAAAAAGGGAGAGAGAGAGAGAGAGAGCTGCTAATAATATACAACTCTATTCCTCTAGTGCGTGGTCTTGTGAATGACGCACACTTGTTGCATAAAAGGCCTTTCTCTTCATATTGGGGTGTTGGCTATGACTTGAGATTTGGGACTCTCACGCGTCTTCATGTGGGATGTGCCAGCTTTGACTCTGTGACTAGAACTGACTTCTTTAGGCCAATGTGCTCAAAGATAATAATGGTAATTAATCTTTTTTTAATGTGCCTATTATATATGGGAAGGTTATCTTAAAATTAAAATTATCTTCAAGGCTTATTTATCCTGTTGCCCAGAGAATGCTGTGGATTTTTTTTCCATGCCATGAAGTAGAGGCATTAGGATGGGCCAGAAAAAAACAAAGCAAATTCCTTCAAAGATAAGATACTTTAAGTTGAAAAATCAAGGAACTCTCTCTTCCTAAAGCAGTGGTACCCATCTAGTGTTTTGTGTGTGTGTGTGTGTGTGTGTGTGTGGTGTTTAACAAAAGTTCTCATAAAACTTAGGGTTTCTGATTAACTCAGTGATGCCAAATTCTATTTTTTTTTTCCACAACGTACACCATAGAAAGCATGCAGCCTTGTGAAAAGTTCGAAAAGAGGTCTTCAGATTCAGAGTCTCCAGGTGGCCAATTTCTTCTGATCTAGATTTTCAAAAAAGTATGAAAGCAGCAAAAAGTTATTAAGCAAAGCTCAATGGCACAGCTCAACTTCAGTACGTTGCTTCTTGTAGTACTGCAAATTCTAATTAATGGCTTGCTCATTGCACACAGGAAGTGAGATTTAGCCTAGGGAAAAGAAAGCAAGGAGTAACTCAAGGAATTTGATAAATCATATTTTTTTATGTTTAAAATTCCTTCTTTTTAAAAGCGGTGAAAATGTAACACTTTCTCTTCCTCTTACTGGAAATTTTCAAATAATTTTGTCTTTCCTCCTCTCTTGGCCTCAGACAGATTATGGAGATAATGCACTCACCATCTCTCTCCCCTCTGAAGCCACGGTTTCCTGAAGGTCTCCCATTTCTGGAGTCTCTCGAGGCCTCCAACAGAAGGCAGCATCTCCTGTGCTGCAGGCGGTTACCAAGTAACAGACCTCAGAAGCCTTCCAAGGTCCAAGGATGTAAATGCAGTATGTCCTCTAAGCCGAGCGCAGGGTGCTGGAATCCGAGAGCCAGGGGCCATGGTGAGAGCTTCCTTTGCTGGGAGGCATGGATGGGATGAACTCCCTGGAGGTGGAAGGGCAGCCTCCCTCCCGGTCTTTCTCTCCTGTCTCTCCCTCTCTATCTCTGTCTCTGATTCTCTCTCTTTCTCTCTGCTCTCAGTTTCTCTCTGGTTCTGTTTCTCCCCGTCTCTGTCTCTCTTTATCTGATTCTCTGTCTCTCTTTATCTGATTCTCTGTCTGTGTCTGCCTCAGTCTCTCTCTATCTCAGTCTCTCTCTCTCTTTCTGTGTCTCTCTGTCTCTTATCTGATCCTGTGTGTGTCTGTGTATCTCTTCTGTCTCTACTGTCTCTCTCTGTGTCTCTGTGTCTCTCTGTCTGATTCTCTCTCTCTGTCTCTATCTGATTCTGTCTGATGCTGTCTCTCTCTCTCTCTGTATCTTATTCTCCCTGTCTCTCTCTGTGTCTCTCTATCTCTATCTGATTGTCTTTTTCTGTCTCTCTCTGTCTCTATCTGATTCTCTCTCTCTCTGTATGTCTCTCTGTCTGATTCTCTCTGTTTTTCTCTGTCTCTCTCTCTATGTAGCTCTTCTGTCTCTCTCTATCTGATTCTGTCTCTCTCTGTCTCTATCTGATTCTCTGATTCTCTCTGTTTTTCTCTGTCTCTCTGTGTATCTCTTGTCTTTCTCTGTCTCTATCTGATACTGTCTCTGTCTGATTCTCTCTGTTTTTCTCTCTCTGTGTATCTCTTTTCTCTCTCTGTCTCTGTCTGATTCTGTCTGTCTCTTTTTCTGTCTCTATCTGATTCTGCCTGATTCGCGTCTCTCTCTGTCTCTGATTCTCTCTGTCTCTCTATCTCTCTCTCACTCCATTGGCATCAGCACAGGACCCAGTGGTGCAGGGGAAGCTCCCAGCCATACAGGACAAGCCTCTGTCACGACAGCCCTTGCTGGTGTCTGCATCAGGAGGTCTCCTTGGCGATGAGGTCTAAGGAGCAACTGGCATCAGAACAGAGCCTCCAACCTGCCTTAGGTCGTCAAGACTTTGAAGCAAGAGCCTCAGATGCAATTAGCAGGACCTGCCTTTGTGTCGTGTGCTCTGAGCTAGTCTCGCGGAGGCTGCTATTGTTTGGGGTTCAGCTGTCAGTATTGTTATCCTGCAAAATCTCTGAATTTCCACTTCTCTGTCCAAGTGCCATGAAGCCAGCCAAGTGGGGAGAAAGGGTTCTTCTGAGATTGATTTTTTCCCAGACACTGTGGTTCTGTTCAATTGAATTCACTCAAGTTGTGGTTAACATAAGCACTACGGAGAGTATGACATGTCAAATTAGCAGCTTTGCAAATCTCCTGTTAATTGTCAGCCTAATTAAAAAATTGCTAATTATAATGTTTATAACTTCAAATAACTGCTCAGCTATAAAGTAGGCCTGTCAGGTGTAACACAGGGGACTGGAGGGAAAAAGTCAATCGACATCTGTTAATTTATCAGCGGCAGTATACCAAATTGAAAAATAGATTGCCTATTGCACTGTAAATCTGCATTACAATGAAAAGACCGAATCATTCCACACCTGCTAAATAAACGGGGATGGGAGTCCTTCCTGGCCTGCCCCGGGCTCCTCTGCTGCTCACATCCCCGTCCTGTCTATGAGCTGGGGGAAGGCCGGAGCCAGGCACAGGGACAGAAAATGGGGGTCCCCACGCGACATCTAAAAAACGAAAAAACCAAACTGACTAAAACGTGCACAGAAACACGATTCAGACAGTGGGAGCGGGGTGATCCCTCTTCCCTGGAAGGAGCCTGGAGCCCCACTGCCGGCCCCGGTCACTTTAGTCTGAATTCTCAGCGCGTCTCCAGCTGCAGAACGATGAGGCTGGAATACAACGCCTTTGTCTCTAAGATCCGGGCAATCCCAGCCCAACTTTCAGAGCCTGGTGAACTCGCCTATGCCCACATCTGCAGGGGTAGCTCCTGCTGGGCCCTGCCCCATCTGGGCAACCCATCATGCTGCTTCCAGTAGTTCCTCCGCCTGCCTTCCCTCCTCTCCTCCAGTGTCCTGTGAGACTCCGGGGCAGGGGCTGTCTCCACCCTCTTCCTCCATTGCCTGCCCTGCCTGGGCGACCCATCATGCTGCTTCTGGGTTCATCTGCCTGCCTTCCCTCCTCTCCTCCAGTGTCCTGTGAGACTCCGGGGCAGGGGCTGTCTCCACCCTCTTCCTCCATTGCCTGCCCTGCCTGGGCGACCCATCATGCTGCTTCTGGGTTCATCTGCCTGCCTTCCTTCCTCTCCTCCACTGTCCTGTGAGACCCCGGGGCAGGGGCTGTCTCCACCCTCTTCCTCCATTGCCTGCCCTGCCTGGGCAACCCATCATGCAGCTTCCTGGTTCATCCGCCTGCCTTCCTTGCTCTCCTCCAGTATCCTGTGTCCACCCTCCTCCTCCATCGCCCCCTTCCAGTCTGGGGAGTGGAGCATGCAGAATAGAAGCTCCCTGTGACCGAGCCTGTGCTCACAAAGCACTGGCTACTTCCTGGAGGATAATCATCAATCCCCTTCTGCAGGTGCACTAACAGCACTTGGGTGTTGTTTAGTTTGGTTCAACAAACATTTATTGAGCATTTCACTCTGTGTCAGAAATTATTAATTATTAATATATTCAGATGAGGGAAGCAAAGTCGGTCGTAAGGTCCCACCTTTGGGAAGTTTACAGATGAGTGTGACTATGTATGTTGGATTAAACTGGGGTGGAATGGTGGCCAGTCATGTCAGCCACAGGTAACTGCATGTAATGAGGGGTAAAGAAGGAACGAATAGCTCCAGTATCTGGGGCTCCAGAGCCCCTGGGATTTTGCCCTGTCAACCAGAACACGTAAGGCCCAAGACCCCAGAAAAAGGGTGGATTTGTCTTATAATTGTGCCCCTCTGATGTTTCCTGTTGGGACCCCGTGTATCAGGTGAGCAGTAGCAGAGTTGGATCCAGTGTCGGGGTATCCATGGACACCTGCCCATCCCCAGCCCTGCACCTTGGCCCCAAAGTCTCTGAACTTTTGATCCGCACTGTGTCAGTATACGTCTGGCCTTGCCTTCATTCCACTGCATGTTTAACCACATTCTGATAGAGCAGGAGCATCACCATCTTGGACAAACGCCACCATTTTAAGTTCTCCTTGATTAAAAACCACCTAAATCCAGCCCCAAAACATCAGCCTAATGGCTAATGTCAGCATGACCAGAAACATTCCAACCCTGAGATAAACCCCCCCTCTGACCAGAAACATGCCAACCCTGAGATAACCTCGTCTCCAAACAGAGGCATTCCAACCCTGCAATAAACTTTCCCTCACACAGAAACATTCCGAGCCTGCGATAAGCTCCCCTCCCTAAACCCTTAAATACCCTTAGTCTGTAAGAGAGTGCTCCTGACCGAAATCAGCCAGAAGCCCCTCTCAGGTTTATTTTCCAAAATAAACCTGTCTTTGACTGTGAAGCCACTTTTCATGTTTCCTTTCTTCTTTCTTTAACTCTTACACATTCCCCAGGCCCTGTCCCCGTCGTCACTTTCTCTGGGTCATAATTGGGTACATTCCCAGTGGTTTTGTGTACCTTAGCTAGAGGGAGGGTGGGTTTCCACGGTTTCCTGAGTCACAGATGGCCTATGTCTCACAGGTTATCCCTTTCTTCCCCACCCAAACGTCCTCTCATCTCATCTCCCAATAGAGGAGAAAGAGAATTAGAAAGCTTCACTGCCTTGGGCCAGGTTTCTTTCCTTCATGGTCTTTATTTTACAGGATGCCTTGGAAGTTGTCTGTCTGAAGAGGCAGCTAGGGTTGGGGGAGGGCCCCGGCAAGCACCTAGAGTGCAGACAAGTTAAGCAGAGGGTGGGCTTTAGCCAGGGAAGCAGAGCCAGGGTGGGGAGTACAGAACCAGCCCAGAGCAGAGACAGAGGGAGGGCACCATGTGAGGGTCGGCATTCACCGAGCAGACAGGAACCAGCAGTCACACTGCCCAGGATCCTCTTCCAAACCTGCCTCAGATAATGTCACAATCACTCCCATTGCACAGACAGATACTTCAGGCACTGACTTTCACACACTTGCCCTAAATTTCCCAAGTGCAAAGGGACGGGGAGAATCAGGCACTCAAGTCTCTGGGCAGCTTCACCGTCTTCCCTCTACGGAACCGCACTGCTGCTGGGGAGGGAAAGGGGCTAGGAGCTATAAATCAGGCTGAAGAAAGGGAAATGCAGGCACTGAGGCAGCGGCAGACGCTCTGACAGATGAACCTGCACTGCAGCTGCTCCTCTCAGGGCATGTGCATTGAGCCCAGGAGTCCCCAGGGAGGTCCACACCCTAAGCCCGGGACCCAGACATGTTACTTTTCAGCGTTGAAGGTGCTTTAAGGATGTGGTTAAGGTTACTGACCCTGCAGTGGGAGGATGTCCCAGACTATTCTTGGAAGGGTTATTGGCCCAATCCAATAACCCTTCAAAGCAGAGAACTTTCTCCCACTAAAATCAGAGAGGTTTGGAGGTGAGGGGAGCCCGGTCCACGGGTTTGAGGAGGAATTCATCCAGGCAGCCTCCAGGAGCCCAGGCTGGCCCCAGCGGAGAGGAGATGGGCCTCCATCCTCGGCCTCAGGAACTGAATTCAGCCAGCGCCCTGATTGAACCGGGGCAGGGCCCTCGGAGCCCCCTGCAGAGCTTCCCCATGGACCCCTTCCCCCACCCAGAGCCTGACCTGCCTGCTCTTGGTTCCGGCCTTGCAAGGGTTTTTCAGAGGACTCAGTGCAGCCACGTGGGCCCAGACTTCTGACTCACGGAACCATGAGGTAACAAATGGCATGGTTTTATGCTGCTTAGTTTGTGGTAATTTTACCACAGCTATTAAAAACTAGAGCGAGTTTATTTCCTGTTCCAGAACTGTCAAATCTGGGTGAGGCTAGGGTCTGCAGTGAACTACGGCCCCTCGAAACCCATGGCTTCCAGCAGGCCAGAGACAGAGGACAGCAGGGAGGAGTCCGCAGGCTCCGGTTGCAACAATTCACATCATTTCCGCTCCTGCTGTGACCACGCCGGGTGCCCAGGGTGCTGGGCAGGAAGTTGGGGCGACGTCTCCCAGCAGTGCCCCTCTAGGGGAAGAAGCACTGGCTCCTGACGGGCAGCGGCCACCTCTGCTCTGGTTTCTACGGACCAGACATTTGTACACATGTGGCCTGGGAGCATCAGCAGAACGCCAGGGTGTGACCCAGAGAACTGCCAATCAACCAGACGCGGAACACGACATCACCAGGCAGACACAGGACAAAGCTAAATTTAAGTCCAGTGGATGTGATTAGCTGCAATGTTCAATTGAATTATTTGGTAAACTCAGTTAATAAATTTTATAAATTCAATATATTTTATAGTGTGCAATTAAAGTATTTTAAAAGTGATCAACTATTTTAGAGCAGTTTTCGGTTTACAGAAAAGTTGAGCAGAAAGTACAGAGACTTCCCATACATGCCGCCTCCTTGTACACAGTTTGTCCTACTATTAACATCTTGCATCCATGTGCGCATTGATTACGACTGATGAAGCAGTATTGATGCATTATTATTGGCTCTATTTACATCTGGGTTACTCTGCGTGGTGCGGCTCTGAGAATTGCGACAAGTGCATCTCCCCGCCGTGGCTGCTACAGAGCGCTGCTACAGAGCGCTGCCACTCCCGAAACGCCCTCCGTGCTCCGCCTGCTCATCCCTCCCTCCCCGCCACCCCTGGAAACCATGAATCTTTTTACTGTCCGCGTAGTTTCGCTCTTTTCAGAACATCATAGAGTTGAAATCACATAGTTTGTAACCTTTGCAGATGGGCTTCTTTCACTTAATAATGTGCATTTAAGCTTTCTCTATGTGTCTTCATGACTTGACAAATGAATTTTTTTTTTTTTCTTTGAGACAGAGTCTCGCTCTGTCACCCAGGCTAGAGTGCAGTGACGTGATCTCGGCTCACTGCAATCTCTGCCTCCTGGGTTCAAGTGATTCTTCTGCCTTAGCCTCCCAAGTATCTGGGACTACAGGCACATGCTACCATGCCTGGCTAATTTTTGTATTTTTAGTAGACAGGGTTTCGCCATCTTGACCAGGCTGGTCTGGAACTCCTGGCTTCAGGTGATCTGCTTGCCTCGGACTCCCAAAGTGCTGGGATTGCAGGTGTGAGCCACCACGCCTGGCCAGGTCATTTCTTTTTAGCATGAAATATCATTCCCTGGTCTGAACGTGCTACTGTTTATCCATTCACCCACTGAAGGACATCTGGCTGCTGCCGAGTTTTGGCAATGATGAATAGTGTGGCTGTAAACAGCTGTTTCTGTGCAGTTTCTGTGTGCCTGTGTTTTCACGCCTGTGGGTCAGTGTGCGGGTTTGTGTGTGTCCGCGTTTCCATGCCTGTTGGTCAGTATGTGGGTTTCTGTGTGCCCGTGTTTCTGTGCCTGTGGGTCAGTATGTGGGTTTCTGTGTGTCCGTGTTTCCATGCCTGTTGGTCAGTGTGTGGGTTTCTGTGTGCCCGTGTTTCCATGCCTGCTGGTCAGTGTGTGGGTTTCTGTGTGCCTGTGTTTCCATGCCTGTGGGTCAGTATCAAGGTATGCACTTGCTGAATCGTATGAACAGAGTGTGTTCAGCTTTGCAGGAAACTTCCAGACCACTCTCCACAGTGGCTGCACCATCCTGCACTCCCACCAGCAATGAATGAGGGTTTCTGTTGCTCCACATCCTTCAAAGACCTGACCTAACGACCCACAAATGCTGCTGTCACGGCTTCTTTCTAAGAGGCTTCACGGTCCAGAGAAATGCATTTCACGAATGGCCTTTAGCAGTTGGTAAGAAGAATTGCTGTTTACGGCGAGCAGGCTGTGTGCTGGGCATCTCTCATGTTCATCATCTCATTTCATCATCTCGGTCGTCTGGTAGGAGTGCACTAGCCTCCCTCAATTTCTGACAAGTAGCTGAAGACTGGGGAGATGAAGTAACTTCTCAAAGATCACAGTCAGCAGACGGCAAGGGGAACGTGGGACTCCCATGCGGCTGACTCTGGGGGCCCTGCCATCCCCAGCCTAGGGCGCTGTGTGCTGCATCCTCATCGCTCTGTTGCCAAATGGCTCCTCAAGACTGCCAGAGTTCTTCTGTGCCCCACTGAGTTGCGTGGGCTTAATTGCTTAGAATGAGATGGCAGAAGAAATGTTGAGAAGGGAAATCAAGAAAACAGATGGCATTCAGGAGGCCACAGAACCGAAAGAAAGAACACCAGGGACCCATGAGATTCAAGGTGAGTCATGCCGACACCTTGACCAGGGGCAAGGGGGAAGGAGCCCCCGTATTTTGTCATTAAAATCTCTAGAGTTGCCAGAACTTCTTGTATTAAGTTTCACTTTTCCCACAGGAAGTACTGGAATCATAATTAAAGGAAAAAAAAGCTTAGGTCACTGCTAACTTCCAACTTCAACATCTTTAATTTTAGTTATTTCCCCTGGCTCCCTGGCTTATTGCCCTAGATCTTTCCTTAATATTTAAGACTTCATATAACAATTAATATAAAAGCTTCACCGCCGTTTCCAGCTCATTGGAAATGCACGTGAGTGGGCGTTGTGCGCAGACACTGAGCGTGGCTGGGGGAGACGCCACAGAAACAGAGGACGCACCCCGACGTGGGGAACTCGCATCCACCCAGGGAACGGCACACATCTGCCTCCACTGCCAATGCAGGAGCACTGGGCCCACCCGAGAGGACCTCCACGAATGCCTTCTGCATGCGGGGCACCCGAGGCCCAGAGAGGGAATCCCCAGGCACCCCACCCAGGCGGTGCATAGACAGTGCTAGGCCCTGCATGCCGGGGTCCAGCCCAGGGCTGTGGCCTGTGCCAAATGCCAAGAAGCAATCGTCTACTGGGAGGGGAAATGTCAGCCATTCTGAGGCAGCTCAGGGAAATCCAACTCCTCGGTCCTGAGGACATCAAGAGAAAAAGGAGTGATGGCACAGGCCGGGGTCCGGGGGAAGGGAGGGGCATTTCTCTGGGAAGCCCCTGGAGATGACACTTCCCTGGGGGCCTTGTGTCCCCCAGAGAAGGCCTCAGGCCAGTGGCATGGATGCTTCGAAGGCTTCTTGGGTTTGCAGCATCTCAGGGCTCACCAGAGGCCTCCAGGCCCACAGTAAATGAGGGTGCGGCACGGGGGCGTCAGAGGACGGACAAGGATAGCACAGCAACGAAGCACTCCAAGGGCTTAGCCCGACATTCAGGGACCCACAGAGTGGCCTGCAGGGAGCTGGGGCCCAGCCACAGTCCTGCCAGGTGGAAGGACCGGGCATGGAGGCTCCAGGCTGAGACCAGCATTGGATAGGGTGGGTGGGCAGGGATTACTTAGGTGCCAATAACCCAGGAGTAGAGGAGATGGCACCGCTATAAAATGCCACGAGAGGTGCGCACAAGGGTTCAGGGCTGCATAGAACCGGGAGGGAGAGGAAGACCCCGCTGGAGCAAGTGCCAGGGTGACAGAGCCAGAGGACTTTCTGAGATAGCACAGCCCCGAGGGTCGGCAGGGCACTGAGGGCCACCTGCCCTGCCTGCCCCGCCAGGGCGAGCATCTGAATCCACATTCTCCTGGGCCGCAGCTCATCTGCGAGTCGGAGCCTCCGAAGGGGGGCCAGTAGCACATGTCCCAGCCTCTCTCGCCCAGGTGATCCTCATGACCAGACGCGGCTTTGCTACAAGACAGCTCAGACTGTGTTCCCCCAATCGTGTTCCCGCAGGAAAGCTGCCCGAGGATTTTTGTCATGCACACGCCGCTGCCAGCCCATTAGCTCTCCCTGCTTCCCATGGTCTGCCGCATCTGGGGTATCCAGCGTCCTCCTGCAGCCGAGGGGGAATTCTGAATGTTTTGCTAGAAACCGTCTCATCAACATTCAGTTTCCTAACATTGGTTCCAATCCTGATTTTTAGCTTCATTTTTTTTGAGGGGCGAGGGCATCTGGGCACTGGAAATGCGGGAACCCACACGCAGCTCATCCACCCATAGGCTCTGACATGTTTAACTTATATCTGAAAGACTCTGAGACTCGAGATGGCCAATGTTTAACGGCATCAGCTTTGACCAGCACAGTTGCAATTATTTGACATGATGTGTTCAACCCATCAAAGTTGACCAAGGGTTTTGTAGACCCATTTGCTCAGGGTAACATAAGATCTTTTGACAAACATGTCTGTTTACGTACTTTCAGAATTTGTGTAGACTCTGAAAAGACCCCTGATGTAATCTACTAAAAACATAGAGGGTTTTTAAGTTATTGTTATGTAATTAACATCTGTAACGGCAGTTGACTTAAGGAAATGTCTTTGCACTTACAGTAAGTACATTTGTGTGAGGAATTATTTGCGTAAATTGTCCCAAATAGAATTTAATTTAAAAGCATAGATTTTATGATCTTGCTCATGAAAAGCTGAGAATGATGAATCAAACATTAAGTTAAATGTCACATGATAATTAGTCAGATATTGCGAGCTTACAACTAGGATCTTTCTGATTCTCTGTCTCTTCTTTAGGCATCAGGACTGAATCATATGTTTTATGAGGCCTATAAAACATGCAAACCTCTGATTTAGCTATTTTTAAGGACTGTAGAGACACTCAAATTTGGTGTATTTAAGTTGAACTCACATATAGGATATGTAAAATTGCATACAAAATTGCAAATGGGGTTCTCTGTAAATATGTTTGCTAATGAGAATATTTTAATTTCATAGATCATACCAGGAAGATAAATCATCCATTTACAAACAGCAGTTGCTTAAAAGATGTGGACTAGGCAATTTTTCCATCTCCAGTGGAACTGAGAGGTCCTTGTTTTCACAGCTGAATATTCAAAGGGGTGTTTACCATAATTGGAGGATGCTTGACAGTTTATGCAGCCCACACTTAGCAGGCTTCAAAATACATCCTGAATTATTTGTTGCAAACCCCTAGATAAACAAGCAAGAAATGCTGCTCAATTGTCCTAAAAAGCCACAAATTAGAGGTATTTTGGGTTACTCATAGTGATTTCTGAATGCAGTGGTAAAATTCTGATTTCCATTTGTATTAATTCTCTTTGTGAACTTTAAAAGAACTATCTTTCAAGTTTAATAACCTTTCTGAAAAAAATCATAACTGTAGATATTAACCTGAAACACAAGAAAATGGATCAGGTGGGGCATCACCTGTGAAGCCTTGTTGGGAATATGTTGGGTGAGAACATTAGGTCACTTCTCTCTGACAAGGACACCCTCCTTGGCTAAAGGCTGGTTGGGTCCTGTGAGCCCTCCCTGGATGAGGCGTTAGCAGGAATCCCGCTGAGATAGTGGGCTGGACGCTCACCCTCACCCTTAGTGATATTAACCGAGGGCCTCTGTGATTTTCTCTCCAGGCCCTCGCCCCACCACTCGGCTGTCATCCCCACTGGCCGCTGGTGCATTTGGACTTGGGTTCAGTCTCTCTCTCCGGTTGCAATAGTTTTGAGTGAAGTCTTCCTTCTTTGCTTAACTGGTGTCATACAATTTTTCTTTTGCATGTGTTACAACTCATTAGAACCCAGTCATGTGACATACTGCTCCCTCTAGGAATGAGGCACAAAGGACATTGGAACAGTCAAAATACACTTCTCAAACTTTAGGCACTGACATGTGTGCTGTTAGTGCAGTGGAAAACCCCTCAGATATGAATTCAGAGACAGTTTGCCAATATTTTAGTTAAGCATCTACAAAGCTTGGATTCGTGTGTGGTTTTCCAAGTCCCAGGGCATGCAAATGAGCCAATTAGAAGCAGTGGTGGGGCTGATCGGCTCACTGGAGGTCAGGAAAAGTGGTGTGAATCACCCACGTTCAGGTCAAGAACTCAAACAGCAAATAGCAATTAGGGCTGAACACTGAAGGGACCAACACTGTCACCATCTCAAGAGGCCCCGTGTGCACTGTTCTGCGGCACTTTATGAGAACCAATTTTCATAATGATAAGCCCTGGTCCCCAAGGAAAGATTGATTTATGTTTCACATATTTATTAATGGAAGGAGAAGGGCATTCTAATCTGTTCGAGAGCTTTCTTTCTAAATAAAACAGTCCTCCCGTTGTGCTGCTCACAGGCTGCTTCTGTTACATCCAGGAGGACCATCTTCTGTGAGCTCCTGGTGGCAAAGGTGTTATTATGTGTGACAGAGCCTGGTTAGGTGGCACCAGCCCTGTAGGAAGGACCAGTGCAGTAGCTAGTTTATTTTCACCTTGGGCTGGTTGGCCGTGACCGTCTCCCCTTGGCCCCTGGGGCTGGCCTGAGGACAACACTGGGGAATTACAAATGGAGAGGACATTTTATGCAGCAAGCCAAGCCCTAGCCTACTGCCTGCCTAATGTCACAGTGAGATGAGAAGCCCAGGTCTGCAGGGTGAGGTGGTACCTCCCAGGTGCCCTACAGGTGAGAGTCCTCATCAGGGCTTCACCAGGATCCCTCAGCTCCACGAAGAGCTGTGCAGGGCTAGTGAGGCCTGAGGAGATGATACCACGCGTGTCTCCCAGGGGGGTTGACACCAACCCCTAGAAGGGAACAGAGGTCTCAGAGTCAGCCGATCCCGAGGACTTGAAAGTCAGGCTCCCTGGAAGCTACCACCACCCACCTGCCTTGTGTGAAAGCAGCACACACATAACACATAGAGACACACACAGACACACACACAGACACATGCAGACACACAAACAGGGAGACACAAACACAGACACAGACACACACACACTCACAGGGAGACACAGCTAGACACACAGACACACTCACAGAGAAAAACACAGGCACACTCAGAGAGACACACACAGACACAAACACACAGACTCACTCACAAACACAGACACACTCATACAGAGACACACAGACACAAACACACACAGACACATGCAGATACACACACAGGGAGACACAAACACACACAGACACATGCAGACACACACACCCACAGGGAGACACACCTAGACACACACAGACACACAGAGACAAACACAGACACACTCATAGAGAAAAACACACAGACACAAACACACAGACACAGTCACAGAGACAAACACAGACACATAGACTCACAGACACACAAACAGACACACTCATAGAGACACACAGACACAAATACACACAGACACACTCACCAAGACAAACACAGACACACCCATAGAGAGATGCACACAGACACAAACACACACAGACACATGCAGACACACAGACACATGCAGACTTGCACATGGGAAGAAACCATTCACGTGTGGGTACAGGGCGTCTGTGAGTCTCACACTTGACCGTGTCTCCAGTCTGGAGCCTCAGGCCTTCATGAAGCCTCCCAGGTTCCTAGGGGGAAGACATAGCCTCTGTGGAACCCTACACTAAACATTTTGAATATTTGGAAAGATATCTTTATAATCCAGCCAATATCAAACCTTCACTTTCCTTCTGTTAGCAGCCAATATGTTTGCGTATAATTTTCATACTAGTTTGTGTCATAGTAAGTTAAAGAGATAGTATTTGGAAGGTTTTGCATCAAGATTTCCTTCCTAGCACATGGAATTTCAGAAATAATATTTATTACATTTCCCAAAGTTTGAACAGGGGTCCTTAGAGGACTGAACCCAGCAGCAGATGGATTTTACTTAGGGCACATTATTTCAAAACATTCAGATGATTCATCAGCTTATAAACTGAGATTTGTTCCAGTAAGATTTTGGCTATTGGCTTCCCTTGAAACACCAGGAGCTCCTGCTTCCTTGAAACTGAGTTACCACTGGGAGCAGTTGTCAGATGCTGACCGGCAGCCACCCCTCTCCCAGTGGCCCCGGCCCTGCCACACATACCAGCAGCCCTGCCACACTTGACTCATTCCTGGAAGGAACCTGGTGCCTGGACACCTGAGTGTGCAGCGCCACTGAAGCTCAACGCTTACTGTCGCTCAGGGCCTCGAGGCTCAGAAAGTGTGTGACTTAAACACGTCACGGAGGCCGGGCACACAGTGGGGCCAACACTACGGCTTCCTGAGCTGTCCAGCAGGTTTCTGCTTCTCAACGCGGCCCTGCCTGGTTCTGTAAGAGCAGGAGCAGGAGCAGGTGATTAGGACGTCTGCGCAGGAGCCGTGGCAAAAACGCTTCCAGACAATGGGGAACTCAGACGTCTGGAAGGGACGGGGGCAGAACGTCAGCGCCACAGACAAATGTGAATCAGGCTTATTACACATCTATTGAGTGAGTCAGCTGCACACCTCAAGCCTTTTCCTGATTCTGATTTTTAAATGGAATTTCAAATTCTTTCTTTGAAAAGAAAAGGAAAGGTCAAATACAGGTAATTTCATCTCCGTGCCGCGCATGCACATTTCAAATACAATCTTCCAGCTTGCTGCCTGTTCTCACACCTCCCGGTTACTTCTCCTCTTCCCAGGGACCCAGACGGGGAGAGGGTGCTGGGCGCCGGCAAGCCACAGCGTCTGCTCTCATGATCTCGCCCCCACCCGCCTTGGGCCCCCAGAGGTCTGTGCTCCGCTCCTCTTCCTCCTCAGAACTTTCTATTCATTACATCCCAGCAGAGCACCTCACCACGGTTGCCCCAGGAAAGGATGCATGTGTGGTTTTGCTGTGCTTTTTGTTTACAAAACTGATCATGTTGGTTAACTCCAGCCCAGATGTTGCAGAGGTTAAGTCTGCTATCAACCTGGAGATGTTCGGAAGGAGACAGCCATCACCACCCGTCACACCTGCTTTGCTGCTTCTGGTAACATGCATTTGCCTGCAGGCTCAGGGCACGTGGAAGGAGGTGTGAGATAGAATCGGGACAGGGCCAACTTGCCCATGGAGGTGGCATCTCCCTCGTGCTTCTCTGGATTCTGTCACCTGTTCCAGTCCTGGGAATGGGCTGACAATTCATCTCCTCGTTCTGTGCCTATAACATTGCATTCCCAGAGCATCGGTGCCACCTTTCCAGCTGCGACAGTGTACCCTGTGTACCACATCCAGTAACCTGCAATAAGAGACGCTCCATACGCTGCGTCAAATTGAGGAACATGCAGCGAATCTGCCACAGACACTGACACCACGTCGCACCGAGATGCCCAGGAAATCAGGAGTTAAGGAGACGTCGCTGCTTCCCTTTTCCCTTCTCACTTGCACTGGGGGGGAGTGGGGTGTCTGTACCTAAAAGCCCTTTCTCACTGGCTGTCTTTCGGCAACATACTTGCTCTTGATTCACATGCCCCTGTTCATGCACACTTCGGGGGGCGGAGGGGCAGAGCCCTACCCCATCCCCGAGAGTCAGTGTGTGAGGTGGGCATCAAGCAGAGCCCTACCCCATCCCCGAGAGTCAGTGTGTGAGGTGGGCATCAAGCAGAGCCCTACCCCATCCCCGAGAGTCAGTATGTGGGGTGGGTGTGGACAGCGGGTGTGGACAGCCTGCCATCGTTTTCCTCTCTCTCTGTCTCCACGGGCACTGCCAACGCCCCGTCTTTCAACCTCCTTTGCAGCTTGGGGCTCCTGTGGACTGCGGGCTGCCCAGGGATGTGCTGTGGGTTCCTGGGAAGGGCGCTGGGGTGTCGAGCACCTTGGCCATCCTAAACTTAAACACCACGCGGGCTCGTAATTAATCCTTCTTGAAGGAACGCTGCTGATTCCCTCGACATTACCAACAATCTGCGGTTGAACTACAGACATACACCCAAGCGGGCATACTGAGAAGGAAAACAAAATCCCTCCGCCAGGAAGGTCCACCTCTGACGGATGCCGCCTCCAGGCCGCACTTCTCCAAGAGCCCGCCTTTTCCTCTCTGCAGGCCTCGCGCAGCTCCTGCCTCCCCCCATGCACGCGCTTCGCCTTCCTCCCTCCAAGCCCCGCGCCTGCCTCCCTCCATGGACACACTTTCCCCTCCTCCTTGCAGGCCCCGCAAGGCTCCTGCCTCCCTCCACGCACGCACTTCCCTTTCCTCCTTCCAGGCCCCCCGCCTGCCTCCTCCACGCACCGCAAGGCTCCTGCCTCCCTCCCTCCACGCACACACTTCCCCTTCCTCCCTCCCTCTAACACATATCCAGCAACCTCCACGTCTGGTTTTCCTGATGGAGTAAGTTACTGAGGACAAATCATTTTACAAATGAGACAACTAAGAGCTAGAAATGGAGAGTAATTACTCAGGGTACTGCACAAATCCATAGGAGGGAAACACACTTTTAACCTACGGGTTTCATCCAGGGCTTCTCAAATGCCACTGCACTTAGTTTCCAGAGACACCAACAGCCCGGAGGGGACCAGGGGGATGAACTGAGGCGTCTGTTTCTGCCTCAGACACACAGTTGTCGGCTGGACCAAATGGGCTTCACCTCATTCCTTTTGGTGTAGCCTCTCCCAGGGCCAGTAATACTGACCTGAGAGTTGATGGATAACTTGAAAAGTCTGTTATTCTGGCATTGGGAAGACTTCCAACTCACATTGTAAAAACATGAATTTTATTATAATAAAAAGTAAATATCGTTCAGTGAATATACATGTATATGTATAATAGATCATATATATTTCAGATGCGTAACAAGTGATTTGTAGATTTCATTTTATGTGTGTGTGTGTGTGTGTGTGTGTGTGTATGTGTGTGTATTTAGAGGCACTTTGTAAGTGGGCAACTTATGGTCAAAGTCTGGGACTTAAAATATCCTAAATGAACGTTCATAATTTTTTTTAAGGGAAATATTGATGAAGCCCTGTCGTTGAAACAAAAAGTTTGTAAGGATAAATCTTGCAAAATGATTTCTTTACTTTCTAGTAGTAGTCACAGAAACAAAGAAACACGTCGCTTAGACCTTATTGAAGTAGCTGCGTGGGAGACACTTGATTATTCCAGGAAAGACACATGGCAGGATGAGAGTGTGAAAAATGAACACTGAGCACTACGGGAACGTCGGATCATAACGATGACGAAGGAAAGGGCGAATCCCTCCAATGGAGTCTGCTGCATGGACAGGGCTCAGGACGGGGAACAGGAGCCTTCAGGGCTGAGGCCGTGCAGCCACTGCCACCGCTCACTGCCAGGCAGGCCTTGCTGGGCATACCAGGAGGGGCAGCTGGGCTGTGTGCCCACTCAGCCACTTCCGGGATGGGATCCTAGGCCGGTTACCGACTTCTCCCTGCCTTCATCCTTTCATAAAATAGAAGCAGCAATCATATCTGCTTCATATTAAAGAAAGGTTATTGGGCAGATGTTAGAACAGCCAACATAAATGTGTTAAATGTGCAAAACTGAGAATAACAACCAAATAATGTGTTAATAATCAGAGAGAGGTTCTACAGGAGAAGGTTTAGCTGCTGCAATCCCCTGAAGTCGATGTCAGACCTGAGGGCTGCAAGGAGGCCACTGGGAACGGCCCCGTCGGCCGGGGGCCCAGGAATCAGCCCTGTGCAGAGTGCATTCCGTAATGTGTGCACCTTCTCTACTTCAGAAAAAAATATTCTTTGAAAGATCCATTTTTTAAAGCCTCCAACCCCCTTGTGAGAAAATTGGCAACTGTGGGGGCCCCCGCAGCCTCAAATTTACCAGTCCTACGGGTGTGACTTGAGAGGGAGTTTCCTGCTGGATTTCAATGAATGGCTGCGTATGTTGGCACTGGCTGCACTTGGCTTCCTGGACTTCCTTGGTCGGCATTTTGGAAGCTTTGGGTGGCACTGAGATTTTCAATAGGAGCTATTTGTTATAATATGGGCTTGACCAATATTGATCTGGCTTGTAGTAAAAAGTCAGAATAAAAAGCGTATACAGCCTAGCATGAAGTAGTCACGATCGTGATTTGATAAACTGTGCAGATATCGTTGGCCAAAAACCTCAAGTTACTCCTGTCAAGCCCTTTGGTTGTGTTGCGGTTGGGAGGTCACAGGGTCCGGTTTTGATTTCTAGCCTTTAGATCACCGTGTGATGCATCTCCTCTACCTGACCGGTCCCGGAGGTCACCTTCCACTCACTCATCAACTGTAAGTGAGTAAAAGTGGCGAAAATCATCATGGGGAAGTCCAAAACCTAAAATAAAAAAACTGGGGAAAGTTTAAGTCATTCAAGTCGGAAAGCCCCTGAAGACCTTTTCTGCTGTCTGCAAGATTTCAGAAGCAATGGGCCTTGTTCAGGAGGTTTGGGTTCAAGGATGCATGGATGTTCTGGAGGTTTGGGTTCAGGGATGCATGGATGTTCTGGAGGTTTGGGTTTGGGGGTACACGGATATTCTGGAGGTTTGGGTTTGGGGGGTACATGGATATTCTGGAGGTTTGGGTTTGGGGGTACATGGATGTTCTGGAGGTTTGGGTTTGGGGGTACATGGATGTTCTGGAGGTTTGGGTTAAGGGATGTGTGGATGTTCTGGAGGTTTGGGTTGCGGGGTACATGGATGTTCTGGAGGTTTAGGTTCAGGGATGCATGGAAGTTCTGGAGGTTTGGGTTCAGGGATGCATGGAAGTTCTGGAGGTTTGGGTTCAGGGATGCATGGATGTTCTGGAGGTTTGGGTTCAGGGATGCATGGATGTTCTGGAGGTTTGGGTTCAGGGATGCATGGATGTTCTGGAGGTTTGGGTTCGGGGATGCATGAATGTTCTGGAGGTTTGGGTTTGGGGGTGCATGGATGTTCTGGAGGTTTGGGTTCAGGGATGCATGGATGTTCTGGAGGTTTGGGTTAAGGGATCCGTGGATGTTCTGGAGGTTTGGGTTGGAGGTGCATGGATGTTCTGGAGGTTTGGGTTTGGGGGTACATGGATGTTCTGGAGGTTTGGGTTTGGGGATGCGTGGATGTTCAGGAGGTTTGGGTTTGGGGGTACATGGATGTTCTGGAGGTTTGGGTTCAGGGATGCACGGAAGTTCTGGAGGCTTGGGTTGGGGGGTACATGGATGTTCTGGAGGTTTGGGTTCAGGGATGCGTGAATGTTCTGGAGGTTTGGGTTTGGGGGTTCATGGATGTTCTGGAGGTTTGGGTTCAGGGATGCATGGATGTTCTGGCTGACAGCCTGGAGACCTAGGGCTAGTTACTCAGTCTCTGAGCTGGTGATGTCTCATCTGTAACAGGTGAGATAACAAGGGAGGCCTTTGCAGGGAGTGAAGGGAAGCCGTGTCTCTGATCCCTGCAGGAGGGCAGAGGCCAGCCTCAGCTCTGAGTGGCAGCTCAGAGGAAGGGGCTGCAGAGGTCCGCGTGGGTCAGAGTTGAATCTGCTCAGACTTGGAGCCCAGTTAGATGAAGATGTGGAGTAAGGGCTGCATCCCACCCACCCCCGACTTTGGTAAGAGGCTGTGAGTCAGGGCGCGTTTCTAACTCTTGACCTGAGCCCCTGTGCACAGGTGCTTCTGAGTCCAGGATCCATCCCTGAAGGTTTGCAGGCATATTAGGACAAAATTGCCATTTTGGGTCTTGGCAAATGTGCAATATGAAATTAAGTGAGTTAATCGGTAGTTGGGAAATTATTAGAGAGGCTCAAAGTCCCACTTCTGCTGCAGAAGAAAATAAGAGTCCCTGTTTTCTCAGATCTGTCCAAAACTTTCTGTGAGTGCAGCTCACAGACCCAAGGGCCTCTAGACGCCCCCACCCAGAACTGCTGAGTGAATGGTCAAGGCTTCCTTAGATAGTCCTGGCTTGTGAACCATTGACTTGTATAGACTTAGATATTTTATACATTATTTAAAGTTCATGAAGGCACCATGTTTGAAGCATATTTAGACATTGCTTTTAAAGAAAAATAGCTTTAATGGTGCACCTGAGAGTGACATAAGCATAACCATATTATCTTTTAAATGGAATTTTCCCCCTTCATTTTTATTTTTGAGATAGGATCTTGCAATATTCTCCAGACTGGGGACCTCTGGGCTCAAGCAATCCTCCTACCTCGGCCTCTGGAGTAGCTGGGACTACAGGCACCACCATGCCTGGCTTCCCTGTCATTTTT